>NC_000013.11:74165681-74317196 GCF_000001405.40 Homo sapiens
GACAGGAGGGGATAAACTACTACTGTATTCTTTTGGAGGAGGAAGGGAAATGCCAGGTTTCCCTGATGTCTCATTAGCTACAACTCCTTCACATGCCACCTCTGGACCAACCATTCACAGAAGAGAATGAGATTATTATGAATGGCCTAGACCAATCATATCTCATTCCTTGGGGCTATGTTAGGATCCCACATTGCCTGAGGTTAGAGGACCTCTGCCCATTGCAAAATCTAGTTTCTGTTTGCAGGGAGGAAAGATATAATGACTACTGAATGGTCAACTCACAGAAAGACTTGTTACATCTATGAGATCTATTATGTATAAAATCTGGAGAAAGTGTTTAATTGCTGGTTGTTAGTTCAGGATGGATCGATTGCACAGGATTTTGAACTAATGCATAAACACCTTTTTTTTTTTTTTTTTTTTTTGAGATAGGGCCTCACTCCCATGGCCCAAGGTGGAGAGCAGTGGCGCGATCCCAGCTTACTGCAGCCTTGACTTCCCAGGCTCAGGTGATCCTGCCACCTCAGCCCCCGAGTAGCTGGGACTGCAAATGCTTGCCACAATGCTCAGCTAATTTTTGCATTTTTTGCACAGACAGGGTTTTGCCATGTTGCCTAGGGAGGTCTCAAACTCCTGGGCTCAAGGTGATTTGCTGCCTTGGCATTCCAAAGTGCTGGGATTATAGGCACGATCCACTGTGCCTGGCCAAGACCTGCTTTTTAAGACCTAAAAGACACCCTAAAAGATAACAAATGGAATGCTCTATCTAAGGATGATTCAGAGACTGAAAGCTTCCAGTAAAATCATGTGTAAGACTGCAACTAACAAATGATTGCCAGAAGTAGATACTGAAGAGTGGAATGATTACTCCTACTTAAGTAGCTCACTCCCATTAGAAAACCGACATATAAGTTCTCCCGATGTCATTTTTTATATTTTCCCCTATCTACATGTATTTTTATTACTTATTTTCTCTTTAATCCTATTTCTGCATGGATTTCCCCCCTACTTTTCTTTGTCTACTAGACTATGACTCAACCTCTACTTGTTCTAATATTAAATACACAGCGCCACACATTTGATGCTTACAGTAGTTCATTGGTATTCTTCTGCACCTTCTTTAACCTCTTTCAAATATATGCTCAAATAATTAGCTCTTCTCCCACTGAAGCTGAGTTATCTCACTGATTTATATCACCCAGGCTTCTATCATCTTCCTTCACCCAAGACGCACACTTTGGTTTTCTCTGTTCTCTCGCTGTCTTCAGAAATATTTGTGACTGATATTGTGCCTTTGTAATCATGCAGAAGCAAGTGTAGACAAACAAAACCATATTTTCTTCCTACACAAAACTAGTGCTATGTATTGATCCTTCTCTCTGCTCACCTTGAACTCTTTCATTCTAATAAATTCTAGTCTCTACTTTTACATTCACACACTTTGACTCTGTATCTTGTTTATTTTCATTTTATTCTTTGCCTCTTTATCTGTCCAGCTAAGGCATATAGAGATGCTCAAGCAAAGAATGCATTAAAGCATAATTTAACTAGCTTCCATGTGTCTAGCAGGTTCTATGGGGAGAGGAAAGCGTTGGAACATCTGGTATAACTCACTTTTTTGCTTCTAGAGGTCAAAGGGGATAGGACAGAAGAATAGCTGTTTAGTATTAGGTGTAAGGGAACCAATATAAGGTCAAGTGGAAATAGCTCCTTTTCCTAGACGCTGTTTCTAACTGGATTTAGGGAGAAAATAAAATAAACTGGAACAGTTTGGTTCTAAAGAGAAATATTTTTAAAAATCTACTTTCCCACCTCCTCTCCACATCATAAAAATTTTGATGGGATTCAAAGTGAAATGAAACGTTAGCAAAGATCTGGTGAGTCTGAGGTATTTCAAACATTAAGCCCGTCAATTTGGTACTGAAATGAATCTCTCATTTCTCTAAAAGGAGCTAATATCAACCAAGTAGCTAACATATGCCAGGTACTGTGGTTTTATACTTAATCTCGTGTTTAATTTAATCCTCTGCTGAATTCAATCCTCCATTGCATTTCATTGTTCCTGATGTCTACATCGTAAAATCATAACAGGTCTTTTCTTTCTTATTATCAAAACAGCAATGCCTCATTAAATGGGAGCAAACAGGGTACTTGTTAATTTACTTAATACATGCATATAGTTTATAAAAGTATACATTAAAGAATGCAAGACACTAAAGTTATCATGAGCATGTCTTAAAAATATGAAATTAAAGTGGAAGAATGTTTAGACAAATTGGCTAAAATCCTTATATTGTTCCCAACTGGTACATTTTTACAAGAAATCTATTAGAATTCAAAATTTTCCAAAATTAGTTGGAGGGATTATAACAAAAACAGCGTGCATCTTTCATTTCCTATATAAATTGAGGTAACTATCATTATATGAACTGGCTTTAAGCCAATGAATTGTAGCAGTATTTACCTGATCACCCATCAAGGCTTTGAAACGGTGGCTGTTTGAATTCTTTGCATCTCTGGCTGTGTTAAATGGTATCTGTGAGCCATTCTTTGCCCGTCTTCTCACAGGGGACCCAATATGCACAGCTTTAGCAAGGGGACACCCCCTTCAGCTGCTCTGCAGCCTGCTCCTGTCCTCTGACCCCTAACTGGACTCTGGCTCCATGTCTTATCTCCCTCTCCATATTACAACTTTCTTTTGGCACAGGAGTGCTTGGCTGTCAATGTTTACTTGCGTGTGCCTAACACTGACTCTGAGCTTTGACTTCTGCCCAGTCCTCATGCCAACCTGGGTGCAACAACTTGTGAAATAGTCCACTGGTGATATTCGACACAGAGACCATGTGCCTCTTGGTGAAAAGATCAAATCGTTCCCCAAGTCTGACCTAGTGCTGGCTGAAAAGGCTGGGTTATATTCAGCAAACACAGTGACTGCAGTGTGTGAGCCTTCTCAAGGCTATCGCTGGCAATTTAAAATGAGGCATGCTATTAGAAATGGAAATAACGGGTGGCAAAGAGTGAGTGAGTTAGGAGGCTGCTGAAGAATGTTTGTGGCTTTTGTTCAGATAAATCACCTATAAACAGTTTACCAGCTTCAAGAAGGTGGGTTATTTTGGCAATTCTAATCCAGAAGATACTTAGAAGATAATCGGATGCCTTTGGGAAGAATCAAAGAAGAAAAGCTTTTGTGCACTAATGTTACAAGTTCCTATAATGTGAAAGTATTAGGGATTGAAATTCATATTTGTGGAGTATTGTTGCTGCCTTGCGTTTCCTGGCTGTGCAGAGAGTACAAACCAGCCGTGGCTGGAGACAGCAATGCTTTTAATGATTTAGTTACCTTTTGGTAGCTTCAAAGCAAGAGTCTTAGATTGTATAGTTTATTCTCAGGAAATGGGTTAGTGTTTGGGAACTTTAAAAAAAAATCCATGTTATTGACTAATTATGGACGAAAGTATTATTAAGAAAATAATATTACCCAAGAAAGTATTTTAATAGAATATGGCTATGACTTTCAATGATATTATAATATTTAGAATATGCAATTTATGATGTTATTTGTGGCTGCAAGAGTTCTGTTCAGATAATAAAATAATAATCACTATTATTATGTATCTACTTTTCACCATCTAACACTAACATTGTGAAAAGTACGTCACAAATGTGATCTCATTTTTGTAGTTATTTTATTCCTGTTTTATAGATGAAGACATTGATCCATAAAAAATATTAAACAATTGCAGAGCTAGAATTAAAATCCAGGTATATCTTATTCTATTTGTAAAATGGAGAGAATAATAACTAATACAGAGAGCAATTGTGATGATTAAATAAATCTATGTATAAAGAAGCATTCGGTAAGCTTTTAAAATGATATGCAACTGGTAGATGTTATTAATATTGCTGATAGGCTTAGAAATAAGCTACCACTCTTTGCCCTTGGATAACTTTTTGAAATATTGAAGTATATCCCTTTTACATATCCCATCCTCATACTGTGTAAATTAAGTAAAAGAGGAACTATAAGCTGACAAGAAAATGCCCCTGGATCATTGAGTTATGATGCAGAAACAAAAGATAATGCCTTGAATGGCGTTGAGGAGGAAGAGACACCATGAACATGAAGATTGTCTGGAGGGTGAGAAAGCCACTTGGGAGAAGGCTGCTTGCTTCAACTTCAGGCTTGCTAATTAGTTTTACAGAAAAGCAGCTGTGTTACACTGCCCAAGGGGTCAACAGCTGCACATTTTTCACTCCACCTTTATGAGAGTCAAATTGTTTAAAAGCAAACAAATATTGCCATTTTTTTTTCTAGAAAGCAAGTGGCAGATCCACTGCTATAGTCCTTTGCCTTCATCCTTATACAGCACATAATTTTTTAACATCCACATTTACACCTATAGACACTGCAAACCACAACCATTGATATTTATGATGATGAACTCTCAAATCCCTTCTAAAAGCGTAATTACGCCCTATATGATCTGCGCAAGAAGAAGAAAGTACATTATAGAAAGCATAGAGTATATTATAAAAATGGTTTTCATGGGAAATAATTAAAATGTTAACATTCTGCTCTCTGCTTTCAATGTCAGTGTCCGGAAATATATTTAATTAATATTTACATATCACTATTATTAGCTGTTAAAATAATAGCTTACAATTTATAAAGGCTTTTATATATTTAACACACTTAACAATCTTGGGAATTGGGCATTATTATCGTTATAAATTTTCAACTTCTTTAAGAATACAATACCAGAAATATACTATCCTTCCTCAAAGGAACTGATATTCATTCTCCTTAATGTAAACCACATATATGTACCCTTGTTTTGCCCTGCATTCCCTGGCTTCTAGGAACCTCAGATTCTAATACAATGAGTATGTTTGGCCATTATATCAATCTTTGTAGTTAGCATGCTTTCTCTCTTTCTTTGTTCTGGTTTTCTATTTCTGTTTCATCAGCCTCAGATGATTATTGCATATACAAATTTTCCTAATCTGCTTCACATGTTTGAAAAAGGGTGGTATGAGAGAGCCAATAAATAAATGAATGAATAATTTGGTTCCTAGTACCTTATTTTATTTTATTTTTGAGACGGAGTCTCACTCTGTCACTCAGGCTGGAGTGCAGTGGGGCAATCTCGGCTCACTGCTGCCTTTGCCTCCTGGGTTCAAGTGGTTCTCCTGCCTCAGCCTCCCAAATAGCTGGGATTGCAGGTGTGAGCCACCATGCCCGGCAAATTTTTGCATTTTTAGTAGAGATGTGCTTTCACCATGTTGGCCAGGCTGGTCTCGAACTCCTGACCTCAGGTGATCTTCCTGCCTCTGCCTCCCAAAGTTCTGGGATTACAGGTGTGACCCACAATGCCCAGCCAGTACCTTGTTTTAGAGATAGGTGAAGTTACATGAGCAAATTATAAAGCTCGTAATCGACAAAGCTGGGCCTTCAAACCAGGTCTCCTGATGCCAAATCCCATGTTGTTTCCAGAAGGATCCATCTCCTGAGAATAGGGGAGTTAAGATTTTACTGAATTAATGCCTTGCTCAAAGAGTGAAACTATCACATTTTCTGCCCAAGTCTGGTGCACTGTTACCTCCACTATCTTCTTGAGGGTCCTTAAGCTCCTAAAAAGGAAACACAAAGGAAGGCTGCTCTTGGCATTCTCAGACGTTCCACACATCCAGTTAGGAGACTGGGCATGTTTAAAAAAGTAGGCAGTGAGCGGAGGGACTCTGGAACTTCAATTTAGCTGCTAAACACATTCCCTCCCATCTCATTCTAAATAGGAGGGAAAACCGCTTCCTCCCAAACAGTCTATACATCTTTGCCTGTGGAGGCATTGCAGCAGCTGCCACCCGGTTCTCCCTGCAGCTCAGCATGAATTTTTCTCTTTGTTGGAAAGATGATATAAAAAGTCAATGTATTATTTATAGTAGTTATTTTCATCATTACATATTCACAATAATTGAAAGGTGGAAGTAGAGTATAATGAAATGGAATGGAAAGAAAATTGTCTCCAGTAACTTCAGAAACATTTGTAGGAAATGTTCAGCTGCTAAAAAGACTCCCACAAAATACAAAAAAACAAACACTGGATCTTAAAATACCATGTAAGCCACCCACATCTGCAAAGAATTATTTCTGTTGCTATTTATTTGTCCAAAGCAATATAGTTAGTGTATAATAGAACCTGAGGGAGAATTCTCAATTCCCTCCATGTTGAAGGGCTTGTAATGAAGTTGTTTACTCTCAGAGTGAGCATAACTTCTGATAATTGGCCCACCATTCTAATGAGGCTAAGACAGTAGGTTTTATTCTGACATTACTTCAGTCCATAATCAAGCACTATACCATTGACCCCAGCCAAATGGCTATCAAATATATGTTTCAGCTACAAGGAGAACTGGTTGAGACAATGTAGATGGATCAATCCAAATTTATTTTCCTCACGACACACACACACACACACACACACACACACTCTACTGACATGTGTTCCCAGTGCTGTCTTCATCTACAAAAGATAGTGTACATTTATCAGATATCAACAAGGTATTTTCTGTAAAAAGGCACTAAACTGTAGGTTTTCCATGTGTGATATGGAATATATGGATTGAATAGCACAAAAAAACCCTTTATTGGGAAAGAGGCTTTCAGATAAAAGTAACAGAAAGATCTTAAACACTAATAAAAATATATTATTCTATATAATAAGAAGTTTGGAGACTCTTATCAGAGTGGCTCCAATGCCAATTGATGTCATGGCTTAATGATATAATTGTAGCTGAAGTTTGCCCCATCTTTTGGCTGTTAACGCCCCTGTAGACTTCACCACAGTCCATCTGCCTTCATGGTCATACAGTGTTGGCACAGTTCCAGATATCTTATGCTTTCACAATAAGATCAAATGGAAAAAAGATCTCTTTCTCTCCATGAGTCTTTTTGATGAGTAGTGAAACCTTTATCTGAAGCCATCCCACAGATTTCCCTTTGTGTTTCATTGGCCAGAATGCATCACGTGCCTTTCCCCATACCACAGGCAATTGGAATGAGATGGCCCGGGTTGACTAAATAAAGTCAAGAAGAGCATGGGCGACCTGAATAAAATTTTAATTCTGCCCAAATGGAGGAAGCAGAGTAATTGATGTTGGGGTGGCAATAAAAAATACCTGCCTCAGGTCCACCCTTTTTCTGATCAACATCTAAATATATACCCTTCGTCCTATTTGTACTTGGAAAAAGTGCCCACGTCTACATGAAATACGCCCGTACCTCTCTGAAGGAACCCACAGTCTCATCAGACAATACCCATTCTGAGATTCTGGGGCTTTTAATTTTGACTTTTTCCATCATGGTGTGTGAACACATAGCTTAGAAACAAGTTTTTATTACTAGCATATCCAATAAAAATAGAATAAATGCTTCCCCTAAGCTTCCCTCACTCCCAAATCAACTCCAATTCTGAGAAGGAGACAACTGGAAATGATTGACAATCATCACTGGTCCATAGCACTTAAGTTCTTGAGAGCAGCAAGGACTTCCTACCATGCCAGTGGAGAAAGGAACCTTTTCACTCATTTGTACAGCTCCAGTTCTAGTCTCAGGAATAGTTTTTCTTTTCTTGGTTGTTGTAGAAATGGCTAACTTCTCTCCGAAGCTTCTTTCTTCCTTCTTTTGGGCATGCAGCTGGGCCACCTTTCCCAGCCCTTCTTGCATTTAGTTGTAGCCATCTAGACTGAATTCTATCTTATAGAATATTAGTGGAAGTGCCATGCATCACTTGTAGGCTGGGCTCCTAAAACCACCAGCCTGTGTGCTTATGTGCTGTTGTTTTTCCCCTTTCCACCTCAAGGCAGTGGAGATAGCTGATAAACTTAAAATATGTGTGTTGAATGTAGTACAACAACTTCTTTCAGCCTGGATCCCTGCATTACCAGATGGATGAAGCCTGCACCACCCACCTTTTCACTTGCTCAGTTCTGTTACATGAATAAGAAATAAATTCCTGTTGGGGTTTGAGACATTTAAAGATTTGGTCTTTTTGTTATGGCAGTTACCTTATCCAGACCAATATAATTCTCCTTTATGGCAATACTGAAGATGAGTATTGGGGAAAATGCCCTTTCTGGGGTTATATAGCTTTAGTATTTTATATCCAGTTGGTGGGAGTTTAGGAGCTCAGGGAATTGCCTTACTGTCTGAGAGATCATAGGCCATTGTTTATTAACCTTGGCCTTTCCTTGGTAATACAATTCCTGTACGAACTCAATAGGCTTCAGGTGCTTCCAGTCAATTCCATGGGCTAATAACACAGCCAACGATCTTTTCTAGAAATAGACTGTGAGTCTGAGAATTCCTGACTCCATTCCAGGGACTTCTACATGATGCCGGTCCTCCTAGACCTCAGATTAATGACCTCTGCCCTGAGTCAATTTAAAACAATAACCTCAGGTGGGAAGGCAATACCCATAATCCAATCTTTGCCATCTTTGTCAGGCAGAAATGACTTTATAAAAATTGTTTAGGACATGTCTGGAAGATTAGGCTTGTCTATTGGCTCAAATTTATCTGCTGCTGCTAAATTTCTTGCTTCCCTCTTTAAGATGGTACAGTCTTAGTCCTTTTTTTTTCTTTCTTTCTTTTCTTTTTTTTTTTTTTTGAGATGGAGTCTCGCTCTGTTGCCCAGGCTGGAGTGCAGTGGCGCGAACTCGGGCTAATTTTTGTATTTTTAGTAGAGACGGGGTTTCACGGTGTTAGCCAGGATGGTCTCCATCTCCGACCTCATGATCTGCCCACCTCGGCCTCCCAAAGTGCTGGGATTACAGGCGTGAGCCACCATGCCTGGCTGGTACAGCCTTAGTCTTAACTTACTTTCCCCATGGAACCCACTGAAAGGCATTCACTGATGTTCCTGCCACTGCCCCTAAGCCCGATGTCTCCCTAGGCCCATGGTCTGTGTTCAAGAGCAACAGATGGTTTAACTGATTGCTTTATAACCTCAAAAAAGTCACAACTTTCCAGCCACGTCTCTCAGTGCTTTCTACAGCACCTCTTCCATTTACGCATTTGCTCATTTTAGTTTGTTACTTTCAGCATCTCACTTCTGGTTCAAACATCTGCATCAGTAGGGTTTTTAGTTGCTAGAATAAGGAACCAAATCTATTTGATTTAAGGAGAAATTGAATTTACTAAAAGGATATTGGATATAAATCATATGAGATGAAAAACCACGATCAGAGGATATGTGGTCAGTAACAATGGCACAAATCACTTGCAGAACTGGCTGGGTGAGAACACAGCTTCCACTGCCACTAACCACAGCACCCTACAACTCACACTGCAGATGCCACAAGCATGGAGCCCCGGGTGCTGCTACTGTCACTGCCACCAGTACTGCTTTGGGAAATTAATCTTGCTTCCATAGCCCCTGCCACAAAAATAAATTTTTTTTACCATTGCACATTCAGATCCCAATATAAATTCTGCAAAGTTGCATCCTGTTGGCTGAGCCTAGGTCTTGAACATACTACTGACCCCCAAGGGAGGCTGCAAAAATGAGGATATGGCATTTGTTTCTAACTCTAACTTATAAAATGGGAACTCCCTCAGTTAGAAAGTGGCTCAGATGTAGGGAAGCCAGAAAGAATGACATGTATGTCCCACTGTCCTTTTCAGCAATTTGGAAATGTACTATCCAAACTTCTATTTTCTAATAGAGAGGTAAAACTTACAATCCATATCAGTTCATTCAACAATATCTTGTGCTTCCCATGGGTCAGACTCAACAATAAGTTGATATTCTGAGCTTTTCATGCCTTTGAAAAGGAGAGTCTCTTTTTCCTGAATCTCACCTCTGATGCTTCCAGGGGCATCCCTGAGATGAGACCCAATCCAGGGCCCAATATATTTCTTCAAAAGCTTGAGCCATCATTAAGAGTTTTCCACTGGGAGGTGCATATCTGGAGACTATGTAATTGTAATTCCAATCTACCTGGGTTGGAATTTTATGAGAGACACCAAGACAACTTCTTAACAAAGTTTACATATGAATGTGGAGCAAAGGCACCAGAGGGCTAACATTAGCTGTCCTGATACTTGTGGCTCAGCCTGAGCCAGGCTTCAAAGCACTTGTCCCAGTGGTTCCTTAAAACCTTGATGCCAGCTAATTCCAGGGTGCCTCATAACACATCATCCTTGCCAAAAAGGAACTCCTTGGGCTATCTATTCTTTCCATATTTTTATGCCAAGGATTTTCTGTGTTTCCTCTCCCCTGGGCAGCCTCCTACTATTCAATTCTCTTGCAATATTTTATATTTCCAAGAAATTCCACTTCATGATGAACAAAAATTCCATCATCTTAATCATCTTCACAGAGGACTCATTACAACTTCTTGAAATTGATTTAAACCTGGTTTTCTCCCAAGCATACAATTTCCCTTAGCCATTTCAACCTAACTTATTATTCCTCCTTATCAGCATTGTGTTGGTGCATGTGTGTGAGTGATATGGAGGGGGAGAGAATCCCCAGTGCTAGTTCCAAAACATTGTTCCTCCATCATTGTATAAATACTCCTTGCCCTGTGAGAGTTGAACTCTACAACTCTACTACCCTCTGTGCTTCCCAACAGACAATTTTCTACAAATACATAAAATTTTTCATTTGACTGACATTCTTTCTCTTTACCCCAGGTCTAGACATTATCCCGGAAGACTTCTCTGTCTAACTTTGGCAAATGCGCAACATTCTAGCCTCATGGTGCCCTGTCTTCCTCACCTCCAATAACTTATAACCCTCACCCCACTCCATACCCATGATCGTTCAGTGGGTGTTTTCTTCCCCAGGGATTGCTTTGGCACTGAAACCTTCAGCTCAGACTTACCATTTCCTCATCATGAGCTCCTGTTCTAGTATTTTCCCTCATTATATCCACTGCACTGATTTTTTGTCTGCATTGAGACATTCAGGTGCTGAATCTCGATTTTCTCTCAATTTTGTTAGCCTCTTTGGATTTTCATTTCCTTCCTTGTCCAATCTGAACTCAAGGACCTGCTAACTCATATTCTTATTTATACCGTCAACTTTCTTGCCTCATTTCACTTACACTTTTTTCTCTCTCCCAACTGCCCCAGAAAACCTCTGCTTTATATCAATCTGTCTGCTTTGTGAGCAACTCTACCTAGGTCCATATGTTAGGTGCTTAATAAATATTGAATTAATTAAATTAATTACACTTGCTGCATTGGATATTACCCTTGCCTCTCACCATTGTAGAAATGAATATTTTAACTTTCTTTGAGTTACTGGGAATCTGCCACAGTTGTTTCCCACTATGGCCAGTTCTAAAGAATCTTCCTTGATCTTCTCTAACAGTGCATTATTATTAATGGTCAGCTACCGGAAACCTAATTTATCTGAAGTAAATTAAGTGTAATTATGAATACATTTTTAGTAACTTTTCTGTTCTACGATAGGGAAGGAAGGTACAAAACATGAAAATTGACTTTACATCATCAGAGACACATAGAGCCCAGAGCATTGAAGCTGAGTCTTGAACTCTGAATAGAAGGTCTTCTGAGAGGGAAGGTGAACAAGAAATTTTAGGCAAAATTATATGTAAATTCAGAAGGTGTGAAAGTGTATGGTATGTTTGGAGAAGGGCTGAGGAAGGCAAGCCACATTTTATAAGTGCCTATTTTTGCCAGCCCTGCGTAAAGCACTTTATATATATTACCTAGCAAGCAGTTCAGTGAACTTGAAAATAGGGAGCCTGGAGGACGACGGTGATGGAAGGTGGTAAAATGAGGCCAGAAAGTTACCATATTGCAAGGTTCTGAAAAACCTTACATGAAATTTAAGGCTTTTAGTTTTACTTATAAGTTATGGGAAGTCACTTTATTATTTTAATAAGAAATGACATGATCATATTTATATTTTGGGAAGATCACTGGTGACAGTAAATTAATGAAGAAGCCTGAAAGTAAAAAGAATAATCAGAAGCCTTTGTACGAGTTCAGGTGAGGGAAGGCCACAGTGGTGCCGATGGAGAAGAGAGGCCAGACAGACTTGCAGGAGGGAAGCAGTGGATTTGTGGTTTAAGTGGGAGAGAAAAATTCAAACTATGAAAAACTTTTGATGCTAGGTAATTCATTTTGGTCTTTTAATAAGAATTCCTACTCCAGAGGATTTTACATCACCAAATGTTAAGAAGCTAATATATATAATACATTACAGTAATAAATGCAATACACTTGAGCATTGTGTTTGACTGTGAGCAACAGAAACCGCTCAGGTCTAGTCTTAAATGCATTAGGGGTTGCATTTTCTCACATACAAAAATCTGGAGTCAGGTGGTCCGTGGCTGGTATAGCATTCTACGGTGTCACCAAGGAGTCAGTTCCTTTTAGTTTTCAGTTCTGCCAGTTTTTAAATGTATGCTTTTGCCTTATGGTCATCAGCCAGTGTGGGGTGCATATTCCACAAAGGACAAAGGGGAGGCCTGAAGGGCAAAGGATGTACGCTGACTGATTCCATCCACCTTGTGTGGTGTTGACAAGCTCCCAAGACCTCCACTCACTAGGCTACTGCTTCATCATGTTGTCCCCTGACGCAAAAATGACTAGAAAACAAGGTTTTTGTTTGTTTGTTTGTTTTGTTTTGTTTTTTACACTCATTGCCTTAAAAGAAATGGGTTCTTTTAAAAATGGTTCTCTTCAAGGGAAAAAGGTCAGAACAAATATAAGCAGGCAATTAGTAGTGTCTGCCATAGTATTATAGAAAAGAGAGGTGACTCTGTAATACTGTATCAATACTGTATCCTAGTGCTTTTGACAATCTCTGTCTTAGAAACACCAGAGGAGTTCCATGTGCTTCTTTGTGGTGCTTTCAAAAACAGAGGGTTTAAGTTGACATTAAATTTCAGGAAATTGAATGAGGATGTCATGAAAGAAAGACAATCTCCCTAAAACATGTTTCTTTTCATTTATGAATAGGGACTAGTTCATCTCCTTAGTTCTTGGAGACACAATTTGCCTGCTTCTCTATGGACCCCAATCTATAGGCTGACACTGAGCATAGGACATCCCTTTGTCAGGGGGAGTTTTTCCATTTGACCCTCCCCAGCCTCAGAGTCTTCTTGCAATACCTTCTTTCACTAGTAACCCTCTGGAAATACTGGAATTCCATTTTTGCCTCACCCCCAGTTTTACTAACAATTTATAATCTGTTACAGTTAGTTATCCAGTTTCTTTTTACCTTTTAAAAATATAACCTCTAACTTATCTTAAAAGAAAAGAGTTATAGACACTATATGCAGTCAGCTGGTGGTCAATAAGTATTTATTGTGTCTACTATGTCCATGTGCTGTGAACATCGCTAGGCCTTTGGTCTTTCCTTCCTTTGTGCATGGTCCAAATATAGGCTGCGAGCCTGGACCATCAGACCTACTGCTCAGGCTCCTCCTGCCAAAGGGTTTGGACTTCATGACCACAGGCCTTTGGTTATAAAAGAGAGAGAAGCAAGAAAGCTTCCTGTGTGTAGTGAAAGCCCATTTGGACAGGAGCCATTACAGCTATGGAGGTTGAGAGATATGCCTATTAGCAGGGATGAATAAAACCATGAGGTGACTAATGTGTATGTTCAATATGAATGGTTGTGTCTCTCCTGCAGGAGAGATGATTGCTTCTTGGACAATAGCATTGCATCAAGGAAGATGCTCTTACTTATATATTACTGCCTTTTTGAATGTCAGTGTTACATCTTGCCATCCACCTTTTAGTATTAAGCAAAATGCAGAAATAAAATGATTTAAATGAAGGGAGCTGTATAATTTTGCCTGGAGATGTACTGAAAAATTAGGCTATACGTTAGGGAAAAGATTTTTACCCATTTGCTCAGTAATTTAACTTCTCCCTGACCTCCATTTTAAGACATATTGATGCCACAGTTCTGCCAGCTTGTTAAATTCTAGTTTTTCAGTGGCTTATGAAACTAAGGTTGCTTTATCAAAATCAACACTGCAGAATAGTGTACTCCAGGTGGCTAGAAAACCGACAGCTTTATCCCTCTTCTTTCTATGAATGGATGGAGATTTTAACTCTAAATTGCTTTAATATGTCCTAAGAAAGGAGATTGCAGATGTACAACAACCCGTACTTTCCAAAGAGTCCCCCAATCGACATCTGGTAATTTTGAATGATTACATAATTAACTTGTACTTAAAAGGAGGAAAAAGTTTCTTACCCATTTTGGGAAGAAATAGCTTACAGGAGAGCTACTCTATCTAAAGTTCAGAGCATGAAGAAATATCATATTTGTAACAAATCTGGGAGATAATGATAAAGACGTCTTCACTTATCATTTGTGTGCCTATTTAAGGCCTTCTGGCACATTCCTTGGCTGTTTTAAGAGTTTTGATTAATTGGGCTGTGGAGCTATCGTGCAATGCATAGGTTTCTCTATGGAAAATAATTCTAACTTGCAAATTAAACCTGAACTAATAGTAGGTGTTTAGTGTTCTTGATTAGACAAAAAGCCTTAACAAATTGAAAAAAGGATTTCAAAAGACAGATTGAGTTGGTTTGCTGAATTTAGGGAAATGCTTGGTCTGACAGTTAATCAATTGAAATACTTGCCATTGAAAGATTGTGTTACTAATTCTCCTCACAATTTATCTTTCTTTTCTCATTTCTTCTAAATAAAGGCTCAGAAATTACTGTCTTTGCCAATGAAGTGACCTATTTAGCATTTGGCTTTCCTGAAATGGGGTTGGCTAACCAGCAAAACTCTTAAGAAAGCCAAATTCTGCTTCTGAAAACCATCAGATTATGTTTTATAAGGTTCTTCACAATCATGGCATATGTAAGATGAAACACAGATGGGTGATGTCTTCTAAACTCTAATGACTTGACAGCAATTCAGAAATCTTGATGGATAGAGGCAAATCTTTAAGAAGAATGTACCAACTCAGCACACTTAGGTTTTGACTCACTTATTTTATTGAGAATGGGTATTGCTGTGCCTGGGAATCAGTAGATCAGGTTTGGACTCCTGCCTCAGCTATAGGAATAATAAATTATAAATATAAAAATTTAAAATGTAAATATTAATCAGAAATTATGCTTCCTGAGCTAATCAGTTGCTTTTTTCCCCATTAAAATATAGCTGAGGATAAATGACATTCACAACCTAAAGGATGAAATATTAAGTACATTTAATTTTGTATGTAGTCTGCTCAAATTTTAAAAGGTGATTTACCAATCTGATTGTTTCAGGTCCTTTGATTATATTAGAATTATTCCTGGAAAATATCTTTTTCTTTTGTTTTTTTTGACGGAGTCTTGCTTTGTTGCCCAGGCTGGAGTGCAATGGCACAATCTTGGCTCACTGCAACCTCCCTCTCCCAGGTTCAAGCAATTCTCCTGCCTCAGCCTCCCGAGTAGCTGGGATTACAGGCATGCGCCACCATGCCTGGCTAATTTTTTGTATTTTTAGTAGAGACGGGGTCTCACCATGCTGGCCAGGCTGGACTCGAACTCCTGACCTCGTGATCCACCCGCTTCGGCTTCCCAAAGTGTTGGGATTACAGGCGTGAGCCACTGCACCCTGCTGAAAAATACCTTAAAAATACATTTAGCATAAAAGAAAAAAGAATAGAAAACATTGACAAAAGTGAAAAAAAAAAAAGAAAAATTGCCAGAAAATTGAGAATGAGGCTGGGTGTGGTGGCTCACGCCTGTAATCCCAACACTTTGGGAGGCGGAGGCAGGCGGATCACTTGAGGTCAGGAGGAGACCAGCCTGGCCAATAGGGTGAAACCCTGTCTCTACTAAAACAAACAAACAAACAAAAAAAGAAAAAAATTAGCCAGGCATGGTGGAGCATGCCTGTAGTCTCAGCTACTTGGGAGGCTGAGGCAGGAAAATCGCTTGAACCCAGGAGGCAGAGGTTGCAGTGAGCCAAGATCGCACCACTGCACTCTAGCCTGGGTGACAGCAGAGTGAGATTCTGTCTGAAAAAAAAAACAAAAAAAAAAAAAAAGGAAAATGAGACATAAGAGATAACAACCCAATGTATGAGGACCTTGTTTGGATCTTGATTTTATTTGACTGTATACACTGTATATGTATCTTTGAAATAATCTTGGAATTTTGAATATGAATTTGGTATTAGATGATATTAAGGAATTATTCTGTTAGGTTTGATAGTGGCATAGAATATTTGTGGTATGGTATGTGTGTGAGTTTGTGTATGTGCACATATATATATGCCTAACACACATATATAGTACGCTATAGATACGTCTTTTCAGTTAGAGATACATAGCAAAAAATTCACAGTTGAAATGGCATACTGTTTGGAGTTTGTTTTAAAATAGTTTAGAAAACAAACAAAAAGTGTGGGAGGGTATAAATGAAAATAAATTGATAAGTGTTAAAATTGTTCAAGCTGGGTGATGAGTGCAAATTTTTTAATACTATTCTTCCTGCTTTTATCTATATTTGAAAAGTATAATCTCAATTCACTGCGTTAGGAAGGAGAAAAATAAACAAATTGGGAACAACTTCATTTTCTTTTATTAGTTTCTACTTTAGGCATCCTTGACAAAGAGCCTGTTTTAGAGATTTACACGTGTAAGGCTAGAGTCACTTTTGTCCAAGGGTGATTTTATTTTCTCTGTCTATGGTTATCAGAGAATTAGAGGACAAACTGATTGCAGCATTGGAAGACTAGGTTTAAATCAGTTCAAACAGCCTACAAACACCACATATATGATGGTCTGCCTCAGGCCATTGTATACTAGGGGAGGTCCCAGGATTTACTTCCCTTTCTGTCACCTCTGCAGAGGTGGAGGGAGAAATGGCTGGGATTAGTAGCCCTTCTGTCTTCACCAGCTGCAGAGGGAACCCAGGAATCCCCTCCAACTGCTGCACACAGTGTGCAGAAGAAAGAAGAGCAATCCTATTTTTGCTGGTTAAGAAATCCATAGGGAGAGAAATGTTCTTGGCATTCTCGTATTGGAATAATTGATACATTTCCTTATAGAAACCAGAGCATTGCTTCCACAAAACATTAACAACATTACATGCAGGAGTATGAAGAATGTGAAAATGTCAGACAAGTTTGGGAAATGCTTGGTTAAATACTTTAGCCTTTTTTTTTTATGAAGCAATAGGTATATAACACTTTAGTACATGTGACACACTTCCTTAGGGGCATGTATGGGGGACCCTGAATGCAGTATTTCTCAAACTGCTGTGACCATTAACTCTTTCTCCAGGAACATCATGTGAGACTAGTATTTCTTGGAAATCACTTTGGAAAATGCTGCCCCTGACCAAACCATTTTTAACTCAAGCCTCAAGTGTACAATGGACTTTTAACTTCAGTTTCTCTATCCTTTTGTGCCTACCATAGCCATATTTCCTTGACATGAATTTATTGAATAGTATTGATTAATTGAGTGTCTACTATGTACCTACTCTTTGCTTGGTGCTGGGGATACAAAGATGAATATGACATATGGTTCATGTCTTCAGAAAGTTTGTACTCTACAAGAGGAACCAGACACAATGCAAATGACCAGGTCAAGTGCTCAAAAGCCACATGAATGCGGGACTCGGCTATGACTTGTCAGGGATTTGCATCTATCTAAGCCCCTCTCTCTGGACCTCTTAATCTTCAGTGGTGCCCTCATATCACTGACAGAGCTGAGAAAAATATTTCTCCTTTCCAAATGCTACCATCTTCATCAGCCATATGACTCGTCATCAATCTCCTTTGACCAACACTCAGAAAACACTTTAATGTTCTTGCCAAAATCACAAGGAATTTTTTTTTCTGGTTATGAAAACATAATCATGACTACCAAATTATACACCAATTCCCTGCTTCAGGATAATTTTGTAAAAATAAAAAAAAATCCACCAACAGCGTATTTAGAAAAACTCTCAAAGATTCTCAGAAGCTGGGTGCAGGTAGCTCACTCCTGTAATCCCAGCACTTTGGGAGGCCAAGGTGGGTGAATCGCTTGAGTCCAGGAGTTAGAGACCAGCCTGGCCAATATAGGGAAACCCCGTCTCTACAAAAAAATGCAAAAATTAGCTGGGCATGGTGGCACATGCCTGTAATCCAAGCTACTCAGGTGGCTGTGGTGGGAGGATTGCTTGAGCCTGGGGGACGGAGGTTACCAGTCAGCCAAGATCACACCACTGCACTTCAACCTGGGTGATAGAGAGAGACCCTGTCTCAAAAAATATATACATTTTAAGAGCATTTATATTGTATTCTAATAAAGTTATGGTGGCAGATATAAATACCGTCCTTGCTGTTCAAGGTGTGATCCACTGACCATCAGCCTCAGCATCAGGGAACTTGATAAAAATACAGAATCTCAGGCCCAGCCTTAGACCTCCTGAATCAGAATCTACAGTTCACATGATCCCTGAGTGACTCAGATGTACAAAGATCTTGGAAAGTCACTAAATTATAAGCATAAAAGGTTTTTAAACACCAAAATAGTTGTAGTGGTAATGCTGACAGATTATATTCTTATATCATGCTTTAGGAGCTTTCTGCCAAAACACTAATAAATATCATTTCAGAAGATAATTAAAATATAGTTATAATCTCAGTCTGCCTAGAGCTCACAAACTTGTAGGGATGACAAACTTCTGTGAGAGCCAGAAATGTGTGTCACCAACTCAATATAGTAAACCAGGAAAGGCTTTAGTTTTTCCAAACTGAAAAAAAAAATTGAATATAATGTTTCCACTTGACCAACTCCCAAGGATGCAGCAATCTTTAACATGTATTTATGGAACACAGTATTATGCATTGAGAAAGAACTGTGTAACCAACATTCTTACAAATCATGTTTTGATGAGAATTTTCTCCAGCAAATATTTTCTCCATTATAAAATCTTCAAAAGTATGCTTGGATAAACCGTAATTATGGAAAACTTTATAATTATGTATGCAAGCTCAGTGCAATCTACAGTAGGCTATATGGGTTGCATTCACAGAAAGTTGCAGCAATTTGCTGGAGCTGAGACACACAACCCTCAGTAATACAATAACCAACAGAATTCTGTTAGCCAGTAGGCCAAAATATATAGAGAAATATTTTTATTGATTTTATTTAAAAAATATTTAACTGCAATCAGAAAAGTTTTATGTAGAAAAGTTGCAGCATTTGTCTAAAAGTATAATTTGTTACTTCAGTAAATGTTCTGCAGATTGGACATTTTACTATTGAAGTACAAGGTTGGCACTGACTTTTACACAGTGATTTGAGGCAAACACTTTACCTCATACAAATTATGCATTAAGTGCCTCTTTAAATCAGGTACTGGTGGTATAGACGAATATGGCCCTACTCCCTGGGAACTTATCTACTCTGTAATGTTTATCTTTACCTATTCTAGTCTTGGTCCAGCAAGATGGAGTTGAGGTACCCAATTGTTAATATGTATGCCAATATTTTCTTTAAGCTATGTTGCGAAATAAACTATAACACAATAAATATTTTTTCCTGTTCAATTAATAATATTTTTAAAAATTCCTTATTTAGGTCCTTCTCTCCTATCCCCAAATGGTCTTACACAGTCTTGGAATTTTTAGCAATAAACTTTAGAAATCATAGAGGCCTCTGAAACAACAGAGGAGGCTAAGGATGGAGTGAGGCTGCCACATACGGTAACTCGTTCATCAACAACTATTTCAGTCGGTCATCAATATTTTTTTCCAACTCCATCAATAATTTGGAGTGCAGTTTCAACTTCATTGACAGGTTATTATGCATTGTGAGTCTACAGGCTTAGTGTAGTTTAGGGCCAAAGAAATTCAGGCTGTTGCACAGAATAGAATTCTGTTACTTGACCAGGGTCAAGTAACACTCCTGGAACTTTCAGCACAGAATGGTGTCAACATTGGCCAGATTAATGACTTTGGTAAGACTTCTATTTTTTATTTTCTTGAGACAGAGTCTCACTTCTTCACCCAGGCTGGAGTGCAATGGTGTGATCTCGGCTCACTGCAACCTCCACCTCCCAGGTTCAAGCAATTCTCCTGCCTCAGCCTCCCAAGTAGCTGGGATTACAGCCACGTGCCAGCACACCTGTGCTTTTGTATTTTTAATAGAGACGGGGTTTCACCATGTTGGCCAGGCTGGTCTTGAACTCCTGACCTCAAGTGATCTGCCTGCCTCGGCCTTGCAAAGTGCGGGGATTACAGGTGTCAGCCACTGCGACCGGCCAAGACTTCTTAACTTTGTGGTAGGTCACTTGGAAGTCTTTAATCAGAACAGTGATGAGCTGGAATTGTTATGTTATTAGCTATGACTAATGATTAATGGAATACTTTAGAGTACTGAGGGTTTTATATACACCAGATGATAACGTATTCTTTAAATGCATGATCATATACCAATTGCCAGGCTCTTCCAGAAAAAAACACAACAAATAACTCAGAAATACAATCCTAAGGATCATCTTGTCTAAGAGATTTTTTTTTCTTAGGAGATATGTAAGAAACTGTAATACTTTGATATTAGCAACAGCTTCTCTTCCTGGTGTATTCTCATTTTAGCTTACAATTGTAATGTATTTCACTTAAAATTTAGTAGGCTCAATTCTTCTTACTTAACCACCTTGCCCTTCCTGGGTGTTTATATGAGGCCGTGAAGACCTCACCAAAGTCCAGTGTTCAGGTGATAGATTGCATGAGAACGGCCTGAGTGAGAGTCCTCCCCAAAAGACCAAGCAGTAGCCCAGGAACTTTGGACAGGTTGGGTACAAATGGCTGGAAATTCTCAAAGGGGTGATGCTGGAGGGTGTATTTGATAGAGACCAAAAGTATCCTAAGGTTTAGAGACACATCATCTCAGTGATATTGGAAGCTGAGGATAGCAGCTGTGTAACATCCCAAGGTGGTGTGTGAGACTTTAGCTTTCCTCCAACCCTTCCATTTTCCTCCATGATAGAAAAAAAATTCCTTTTGTTGTGTTTTTAAACTACATTTTACCTACATTTAAAAAAATAGTTAAGCCATGTAGTGCTTGCTATGTGCCAGTTATGACTAGGTATTTTGTTTATACAATTAACTGATTGACACTATATTGCATATACTTTCCCCTTTTACAGATGAGGAAACTGAGGCATGGGAGGTGAAAAAACATTTTCTCAAGGACATAGACAGTATGTGCAAGAGGTGGGATTTAACTCTGGAGTTTAGCTAACAAGTCTCGTGCTCTTAATTCCCGTTGTCTACTGTTTCATCTTATAATTCTATTAAATGAGCTATCATACAAAAATATAAAACACAGGGTCTGCACATAGAAGGTGCAACAAATTTTAGCTCCCTTTGTGTAAAAATGCTGATTCATACGCTTCCTTCTAGGAATGACAGGGTCCATTATTGCTCAGTGGTTAAGATTGCAGACAACAGCCTGGGCAACACTGCGAAACCCCATCTCCACAAAAAATACCAGAATTAGCTGGGTATGGTGGCATGTGCTGGTAGTCCCAAGTGGGAGGCAGAGGTGAGACGATCACTCGAACCCAGATGATTGGGGCTGCAGTGAGCAGTGATCATGCCACTGCACTCCAGCCTGGGTGACAGAGGGAGACCCTGTCTCAAAAGAAAAAAAAAAAAGAGAAAAAACAATCGCAGGCTCAGTGGTTAACTAACCTTGCCATTCCTCGCTAGCTGTGTGGCCACGGGCAAGTGTCCTCGTTTGTAACCGGGGATAACCAGAGTAGCTATCCCAGAAGGTTTCTGTGAGGTCGAATGAGATATCATGTAAAGTTCTTGTACAATTCTCGGTATATAGTAATCACTCACTAAATTTTTTTGTTGTTATTAGGAAGCTTATATAGAGTGATTTAATACCCAGCATTCCATTGGGAACATAGTAGACAGTAAGTAAATATTTGATGAATGACTGAATGAACGTATGACTTAATTAATTTGCCCAAGTTTGATTTGCCCTAGGGATGACTGGGGGCCAGAGAGGTTGTATAACATTTTCCTGCTCCCTGAAGGATACCAGGATGACTCAGCAAGCCTTCATTCTGGCATTTGACAGTGATGTGCTAAGCTGTTTGAACACTGTCTGACTTTGACATGATCCAAACTCTGACACATTTCATGGTTTTAGACACTGACAAACCCAAGCCAGGCCAGCCCCAAGGTGCTAAGAGTTGCTGCAGATAGGGGCATAGCCGGAAGAAAATAGTTATTTAACATTGTTCACTAAATGTAATGCATATGACTTTCAATGACCAGGCCTTACTCAATTACAATGATTTCTTTTAAAAAATGTCTATATAATAAAGACATTTGTTCTTATTATGTAGAACATGCTTATTATAAAGGACATGCTCTTCCTTTGAGGTATTATAAGGCCGGGGAGTCTATTTAGAGTAATAAAAATAAAAGAAAAAAAAGTAGGTTTAGTATAGTTGTGGTGTTTTGTGTACCTGATTCTTAGATAAGTTTTGTACTATTAAGTATCCGAATTAGTGTATTCTATCCATGCCATAATTTAGTAAGCTAATAAATATTTATCGACTACCTACTATACCCAGACACTGTTCTAGGTGTTGAGGATGTACCAGTGAATAAAACAGACCCAAATTATGTCACCTAGGCTGTACAATAGAAAATTTAAATTAGAATTATACCCCTTTGATGTCATAATACTTTTCTGAAAATATGCAAATTCGATCGTCAAATTTGATGATGGAAAGTTCAACGGTTCTAAGTCCCTTATCTTTACTCAGTTGAAAATATAATTGAAATATGTTATTGTTTCTTTTAAGAAATATATTTATTAAATTGTGGCTCAATTATTGTACCTGGCAAAACATGATGGTAAGACCTGGTAAAGTTAACATACCAGGTTTGAATCCTGGCTCTACCATTTATTTATGGTAAAGTTAACAGGGCTACTTCCTCTAAACTAACATTTTAAATATTATTTTTCATGGGTTGTTAATAGGTATTCAGCTTAAAAACAAAGAGTGGGCCAGGCGTGGTGGCTCACACCTGTAATCTCAGCACTTTGGAAGGCCGAGGCAGGTGGATCACTTGAGGCCAGGAGTTCAAGACCAGCCTGGCCAACATGGCGAAACCCCGTCTTTACTAAAAATGCAAAAAATTAGCTGGGCGTGGTGGTGCGCGCCTGTAATCCTAGCTACTTGGGAGGCGGAGACACGAGAATTGCTTGAACCTGGGAGATGGAGGTTGCAGTGAGCTGACATTGAGCCACTGCACTCCTGCCTGGGGGTTCTTGAGACAGCAAGAACCTGTCTCAAAAACAAAAAATGAAAAACAAAAACCCAAAAAGTGATTTTCCTGCTTAAATAAGTTTAGAAGTGCTCCTGTGCCTCATGAATATGCAAATATGCAAAATGACACTCAGAGTTTCATAAACCTATTTGATCACAGAATTATCTTTCCAGTGGAACTTTTTGTGGAACAATTGTTTCAGTGAACACATTTTGGAAAAAATGTTTGCTAACCTTCTTCCGTAATCTATTTGCAGTACATAGAGGAATTATAGACAATGGTAGACTCATAAGAAAAACTGAAAAACCAGTTTTTCTTCGGTTTTGTAAGACAACAGAACAAGAAAAACACATTGTAGATCAATAGCTTTCCTTCCCAAAGAACGTCTATATCTGGTACACGTTCTTCCTCATTTGCAGCGAGGCCACAGGGATGCTTCCCTTTCCGTAGATGGCACCGAGCTTAACTCGTGTATTGGACTTTGTATGAGGGACTGCCCCCATTCAACAGCCCCCATGATCAGTCTTCCATTTCTAGGCCTTGTTCCCTCTGCTAACTGTGGGAAGAGGAAGATTGTTTTGCTTTCGGAATAGGTAATATAGTCACATGGTTCAAAATTCAAGAGGTATGAAAGCGTGGAAGATCTGCCTTTCACCTCACTCTCCAACCCCTCAGTTCAACCAGTGTTGCTAATTTCTGGTGTATCTTTCCAGAGATATTTCACTCATATATAAGTAACATATACATATTTATTTTATCCATTCATCCACATATGTTATACACTCTTTTCACATCTTTTTTTCATCTTAACAAGTTATCAGAAATTGTTTTCGACTAGTTGAAACATTTAAAAAGTCATTAAAAAATTTTTTAATGACTTAAATGTTTAAAATGACTTTAAACATTAAAAAACATTTAATGTTTCGACTAGTCGAAACATTAAAGAATGTCCACTTTTTTTTCTTAACATGTGCAAGGTATTCCATTGAATGCAAAACGTTATTTAACTACTACAATATTGAGTAATATTATTTTTCTAATATTTTGCTATTGCAAAGATTACTGCAAAGAGTAACCTTGTCACATCAATTCACATGC
Source organism: Homo sapiens (assembly GCF_000001405.40). NCBI lineage: Eukaryota > Metazoa > Chordata > Mammalia > Primates > Hominidae > Homo > Homo sapiens. The sequence continues at coordinate 74,190,077 of NC_000013.11, forward strand.
TTGAGAGTATATTTTTAGTGTGCAATACTGAAGTACACTTACTGAGTCAAAAGTATGTACATTAGTAATTTCACAGATATTATCAAATTACCAAGATGCACTCCCACCGACAATATATTAAAATGTCTCTTTCAGCTTCCGTGACAACAACACACCAAACTTTTTGACCTTTGCAAATCTAATAGGTGAAAAACACTATCTTAGTAGAGTTTAAATTTGGAGTTTATATCTTGAAGAAGCAAGCGGTTTTATTTAATTGAAAAATATTTATAAAATTTATTGAAGAAAATACTGCTTATTTCCCTTGCCTTCTTCTACAGCTTACACTAAGGCTGATCTTCCTTTGATGTTTAACTGTTATCATTAATTCTGTGCTATAATTTAAGGGGTGGTGATGAACGAAGGCTTTGCCAAGAATGGGACTGGTTTCTGAGCATTATGCCCTGATTGTTCTTCTGGCTACTTAATTTCTTTCAGCTATTAATTTTTATGTAGTGAATATCCTCTTGGTTTCTAATCTGCTTCCTCAATTAATACTTTATCATTTGAAGGAAGGAATGAAAGATGTTCTTACAGTCTTCAAAATAATAATTATAATAGCTACCATTTAAGTGTCTCTTATGTTTCAGGTAGATGTTTATATGCATCATTGATTAAACTTTCATAGAGACTTTATAAAGTAGATATTATTATTTACATTTTCCTGATGGAAGTAACCCCGGCTACTGACAACTTATCACTAAGAGAGCTAGGATTCAATGTTTCAATGGCCATATCAACTCTTTCTTCTCCTTCAGAAGACAGTGTCTGAGCTTTGTGACAACTGTTTTCCACTCTGTTCAAAGACCTTTTTTTCCACTTATGTTTGGATTCCCAGATGTGTTCTTGGGACCTGCAGTTACTCTGCCAGTGACCTCTGGAAGCATAGGGCACTGCTACACATTGCTTTACACTCAATATGCTTTTGAAGCCAGAAGCTAGGAGTATCTTAATGTGAACCAAAATAACTAAAAAGCCAGGTCAGCAATCATTTTAGCAATAAATGTCTGCTTCATTATATTGTGAACTCTCTCTCTAATGAATTCCCCTTTCAAAGGATTTTATGTGAAGCATGTGACAAGCAGTATATTCTGTTTCTGAATTAGCAGGAAAATTCAAAGAGCTTGGCATCTGTGGCACGCAGGTGGCTGATTTATCATTTCCTATCTGGGTAAGCCACATCTGAGGTTTCTTTATTGTTGCCTTATCACAAGATAGGATTTTCCTTCTTGACCACTCTTAGCATCATAAGAATATAAATGCCCAAAGCCCTGAAAAATCTTTTTATTTTGTTGAGTTATATTTATTTTCTTTCACTTATATTTAACCAACTAGCATCAATGCATTCTGATGTAATCCTAGAAGGAGCTCATTTTCCCTCTTGCATCTCAGTGTTCAATGTCTGCCTCCTAGGTTAATGAGAGCCGCGTGCTTCTGCACCAGGGTTTCAGGTCTCTTGTGACAAGGAAGTAAATGGTCTCGGATTTTTCCTGACATCTCCCTGAAGAAATCATTGTTGCATGGCTGCACAGCTCTAGCATACAGGCCTACTTAGAAGACAAGTTAGAAAGTACAGAGCCTTAGACTCACACAAATGAGTCATTCCTTAGCACCCTTGAAAACAAAATTTCTTAGAACATCAGAAAGGCCAATTCAGGGGGAGGTATTTGGTATATATAAGCTATAAAATTTACCTTTTATTTCTCTCTGTCTATATATATATAAAATGTAAATATACGTATATATTTACCTTCACTAGCTCTGTCTTAAAAACAGAATGATTTAAATTCCCTTTTTAAAAATTCCAGTCATTCCCATTTTTGAGAGAAATTGTGAATGACTGAGATTTTCTCCTTTCACTTCAAATTACCTATGTTGACCAGGTATCAGTGGCTTTTAGGTTTATGGCTCATACCTCAACAGTCACATTCAAACTTATTGTAACTAGGCCTTGTAAACAAAAGGCAGCAAACTGATGAGCTCTTTGAGAAATGTGTGCTTTCCCAGAGAGCAGAAGAACCAATCAAGAGGAGTGCCTTGACTATTAACTTAAAAAAAAATGGAAAATAGTAACAACTTACTAATACTAGATCTAAAATATAAGCAACCCAAGCAGTCTGTTAGTTTATGTTAAAAAATACTATCTCTAACTAGTTATTCCAGTTCAATTCCTTTTGCAAACTATATTGAGTATAAAAAGCCACAGTTTGTTAAAGTCTTAAAGTAGAACTAGCAATTTGAACTAGTCTAGGATACCTGATCTTCCCTTTCAGATACGACTACAGTCCTTGGTTTTACATTTAAAAATTACTTTCCTGAGATTTACAAATACCCATTAGATCTGTTAGAAAGATATCATGAATGTGTAAGGTGTAGAGGCTCTGTAATATGATTTATGCATATTTATTATGCTTTGGTTTCACATAGTGTGAGATGTGATTACAAGGTAATGAAACGGGTTTTTGCATGTGGCATGAGAAATCAGTTTCGTTAGTTTATATTTCAATAGTTTGACACACATATTTTGTAAAATGAGTAAAGGTTGCCAATTCAATGGCAGAGCTATGATCTACACTTGGATGTCTTACATTAAAGAGGAGGCACAAGTAGAAATTATTTTCATGCTATGGACACTTTGGACAGTCTAGTAAAATCTGTGGACTTCTCCAAATAATTTTTTAAATTCTTAGAATGCACAGATTTTCCAAGAAAATGAATTATGCTGGCTTAGTGTTTATTCACCTTTCCCCACTATCACACTATTTGCTGCTACCTCTCAAATTATTACTAGAGACCCAGAGACAGCATACACAGGTATCCTTAGAATCAGATTGAAAGCTCTTTCTTTTAAGGAACTTTTTCTGTTTTTTTTTTTTTTTTTGAGACAGAGTTTCACTCTGTCACCCAGGCTGGAGTGCAGTGGTGTGATCTCGGCTCACTGCAACCTGCGGTTCCCGGGTTCAAGAAATTCTCCTGCCTCAGCCTCCCGAGTAGTTGGGATTACAGGTGCCTGCTACCACGCCCAGCTAATTTTTGTGTTTTTAGTAGAGACAGGGTTTTTGCCATATTGGCCAGGCTGGTCTCGAACTCCTGACCTCAAGTGATCCACCTTCCTGGGCCTCCCAAAGTGCTGGGATTACAGGTGTGAGCCACAGTGCCCAGCCAAGGAAATTTTCTTTTTAAAGATGTGGAAGAAAACCACTGGGCTAAGTGGTCTCTATATGTCACCTACTTTAATCAACAGACATACCTATGAGGTAGAAACTATTATTACCCTTTCTTTACAAATGAGAACCAATGAGTTCCAGGCACTAGCCGACAATCATACCATAAATAAATGGTACAGCCAGGATTCAAACCCAGGTTTATTTGACTCTACAGCCCACACTTCCATTCCTATGCTATGCAAACTGGTTACTGCCAAAGTTACTCATAGCCTGAGATTCTGTGTGTTTAAGTCAACAAGGATCATTTCCCACCTTTTGTTCCAATTTCCTCCAAGCCTTCATCTACTTTCCACATGCAGCAAGAACACTATGCACAGTTTAAATAATACAATCAAAGACTTCCTGCTTAGACTAAATAAAATTCAATCTAAAAAGTCAAAAAATATGGAAGAAACCAACATTATAAGCCTAACTCTCAGCAACTTCCTCTCTGCCCCACATACCTTCACGATGTCTGATCTCTTCCTTTCTTCTGGCACTTTCTGTTAGGAAGAAAGTTCTGATGATTGCTAACGTGTCCCTATGCTACTAGTATTTGTAACAGAAATGTATATTTATGTTCTTTAGCTTGGTTCCTCTGCCTTTGTTAAAGCCTTCTGAAGACAATAGTTTTCTAAGTGGATGGTGATCTTTTGTTTTGCTGAACATTTTGATGGGTTTGGATATATATTTGTTGTAAGGGAAAGATTTCATTTTCTTTTTTCCTAAAGGGAACATAATTGGGAGAACTGCAGGCACCCTTGGAAGGAAGAATGGGAGAAGGGAGAACAAGGAAAGAAAAGACAAGATGTGAGACAGGTGCATGATATATAACACTTCTCTGTGCCCACAAATCTCCAATCAAGTTGTTTTCTGGGGTGGTGGTGGTGAAAAGGGTGCAGCAGAGCATGCATGAGTTCTGGAACCAGAATATAGCACACAGAGCAGAAATGTTATTGAAGAATTTCTCAACTGCTTCTCTAGGAATTAATGGACACTGTCTTAGTCTGTTTGCGCTGCTGTAACAAAATACCTGAGACTGGGTAATTTATAAAAAAGAGATATTTATTTTCTCACAGTCGTGAAGGCTTGGAAGTCCAAGATCAATGTGCCAGCAGGTTTGGTTATCTGGTAAGGGTTGCATCCTTAGAAGGGGAGGAACACTGAGTCCTCATAGGGCAGGAGGGAGGACAAGCTAGAAGAACTCCCTTCTTCAAACCCTTTCATAAAGACACCTAATCCCACTCACAAGGGGGAAGAGACCTCATGACCTAATTGCCTCTTAAAGGTTCCATCTCCTAATACTAACACTTTGGCAAATACCTAAACTATAGAAGAAACCAAATATATGTTGTGTTTTAAGGGCCAAGAGGGGGCCTAGATGACATAGGAATTTCATGTTTAAAGATGCTTAGTGATAGGAAAAAAACAAAAGAAATGCATTCTGATGTGTTTGGTTTGAGATAGATGTCACTCCCATATTTCAAAGATTGAATCATAGCACTTTTTCTGCTTATGCTGAAAACAAACCAGATTTTAAAAATTCCTTTTATGTAGATGCAGTTGTATCTATAAATCTGTTCAACTCATAATTATCTTTTTGCCTCAGCTTTCTCTAGAGCAACTCTTTCAGGACTCACTTCCTTTGAAGAGTTTGTTTTGACTTCTTAGGTGAATTAGCTTAGCAGATGGGGTGAAAAGGCATCGCGGAAAGCAGACTGAACAGGAGCTTTGGCACCAGAAAGCTCTCTGTGGTTGGTCCTTTGGCCAGCTACAAGGTGTCTAATCTTCACTTTTCCAAGCTCCAGTTTTTTTATTGGCAGGAATATCTCATAAGATTAAATTAAAATGTCATTTAAAATGTGTATCACCATTCACTAAAAGAAACTTACAGACAGCAGAATTTAATTTAACTACTTTTAGTGGAAAAGAAAGTTATTAAAGATGGTTTATACAATCTTTGAGAGGGCCAAAAAATCAGACACAGAGGCCTCACAGCCAGGAAAATATTGAAATCACATTCTTGCTGGGCGTGCGAACTGCAAGTCCACACTGAAGGGCTGAGCAAGGGACACCTACTGCTATGAATCCTAGAATGACAGGGTCCTGTGCCATGTTTCACAAGCCTGCCAGGGAAAGGGGTCCTCATGCTGTGAAGTCTCTCTGTTAAGGTTGGGAGGTAGGCTTCATGTCTGAGATTGGGAAGCAGTCTTGGTTCCTACCTTGAGAGGCAAGACTCACAAACAGGGAAATTCCATACATTTAATTAAGGTTTTTTGTTTGTTTGTTTGTTTTGAGATGGGTTCTCACTCTGTTGCCCAGGCTGGAGTGCAGTGGTGTGATCTCGGCTCACTGCAACCTCCACCTCCTGGGTTCAAGTGATTCTCCTGCCTCAGCCTCCCGAATAGTTGGGATTATAGGCACACACCACTATGCCTAGCTAATTTTTGTGTTTTTTAGGAGAGATGGCCAGGCTGGTCTCGAACTCCTGACCTCAAATAATCAGCTCGCCTTGGCCTCCCAAACTGCTGGGATTACAGGTGTGAGCTACCGCACCTGGCAGTTGAATTTTTTTTATGGCTGATGGCCACACACGTGACATTCATTACAATCCAAGAATTCATGATAATGGCACAAAAGAAAAACTCAAAAAATGTATTTACTGTGGTTACAAGGTATTATGAAAAGAAAATAAGACAAATTATGTTACTCTTGATATGCATGCATATAGCCTTTCATTAGCTCTTTTATGTTTTTAAAGCACTTACCAAGTGCAAAATGTTTCATTTTATTTATTTATTTAGAGAGCACACATACAACAACCATGTGTCCTCTTAGAGCATGCATTGCAAGACAGCATATTTGGTATGTTGGATATCTTGTGTTTTTTCTCTAACTTCACTTACCACTCTCACCACCCTGCTCTGGAAATTAGGACTCTGATCTACCCAAGCAGGCTTCCTCTGACTTCTGGTTGAGTTGGTCAATGGGGAGCACCAGCAGGAGATCAGAAGGAGGAGGGAGAGAGAAGACAGATTATTTATTGCCCAGGCCCTTTTCTTGCAGGTGGGGGAGAACATTTTGGGTGTGCTGCAACCCTTGACCCAAAGTCACAGATACTGTCAAGAAAGAGATAAGAGCAAGTAGTGGGAAAGAAGATGGATTCAACTCTATGTCATTTAAAATGCTGCTTGCATTTTTAATGGAAATGTACATCTGTGTTCTACCATCTTTTGGTAGAGTCATCTGAGGATGGTAGGTTTCATTAAATATTCTCCATCTAAGCTTTCTGCATCATGAGTTTCTGCTCCACTGGCTTCGTTAGCCTGAGCATGGTCACAGTGCCCCCTTTAACCAGCCCAGTGGTACCTTTTGTAGTTTTCCTACATTCTGTTGACACCCTCAGAAGTAATCCTTTTAAAAAATTCTCTTCAAGTTATACAATGTGAATGTGCCCTCTCTTTTCTTTCTGGACTCTGGTGCCCTGAGAATGGATTTTTAAAAGATACTGTAGGATATATAGTAATATTTGTTTAGAATTTAAAAAAAATTTATGTTTCTACATCTTTTTTATTAAGTTAGTTTAATTTAAAATGTGCATGCATGGAGGGACAGTGAACCCAATAGAAGTCTGGGAAAGGTAAGATTTTACTCCCAATAATTAATTTGGGGAGCATTTATTTGATTTCTTCAATATTACAGGCTCTGAGCAAAAATTTCAGATACTGAGATGAATTTGACCTGTGTTCAGGTATAAGCCTTAAAGAGATAAGATCTCAGACAACTCAGAATTTATTTTTTACAGCAACTTTCCAGTACATAATATTTATTGAAATAAAAATAATAACTAGAATTATTCATATGGTTATAATAAATAATTGATAAGAAAACATACAAACACTGTCTTGATTTTCTAGTTTCTTTTGATGGTTATTTTGAATTCTGTAAAGTAATTTTTCAGGCAATTTTACAAAATTGCAAGTTTTAAAATTCAAGGATATTTATTAAAAACAAACCAATATTATTTGGGCAACTCAATTTTCATGAGAGTAAAGCTGAGGTTAACTGGTATGTAAAGTTAAAATTTCAAGAGTGTGTAAGGATCATTCTCCCTCCAATTGTTTACAAGCATACACACTCACTCACACACACACCCCACACACTCACACAGACACACTCACACACTTAGATACACTCACTCATACTCAGTGAATAACTCTGATAATTCTAACTTTATACTAGTGATACTTTTGGTTCTATATGTATGTAAATATACAAAATATGGGAACTCTTCCTGTCTTCTGGTAAGATGAGGGTAATAGTAAGGGAAATATATAAATGTTTCCATCTAGAGCATCATGTTATGCATGCATCAAGCAAATATAATGTAATAGTGATAGTTTTAAAACCTTTCATAGTCACTGCTATTTTTATCACCCAGATGTGCACGCAATAAGCATTTTATGAAATATTTTCATATTCTGTAAATTTTTCTTGCCTCTGAGGCTCCCCACCCATTTTGTCAATGGCAGTCATCCCTCCAGGAGGAGGGTGGATACCATCTGGAACAAAGAGGGCATTGATCAGGCTTGCGTTTCAAAGCCAACTTAAAAAAAATTTTCTAGCAACAGAGTTGAGCCTTTTAGGGAGTGAAAGAGTTGTTTTTCCTAAAATGCTGAAAAGAAACAAAAGGAGAGAAGAGAAAAAAAGAAAGAAGGAAGGAAGGAAAGAAAGAAAACAATGAAAGAGACAAAGAAAAAAATCTCTCTTGTTCAAATATCAAAAGCAAAGATGGGGAATTTTGTCCATAAACCTCAAGTAGAGAGAAAGCAAGAGGAGAGAGTGGAGAGTCTCCTGGTCAGAGAGGCAGACACTGCTAGAGACCCAGGCGGGGAAAGAAGTGTCTCCTGGCTTTACTCCTGAGGCTAAAACCCTGGGGTATGGTGAAAGCAAGCATAGGTGGGTGTGGCTTTCAAAGGCTGTTAGAAAAAATATAAAAGAGAAACTGCAGAATCCCAGAATGGTAGGATTTTTCTTCCCTTCCTGGGCACTACCTGGGAAGGTCAGATATCACCCCAGAGAAGTGCTCCGTTCAATGTGGCACCTTGTAGACCGGCGCTGCTCTAAGCGTGGTCCTGAGAAGGTGCTGGCCTGTAATCCTCTGTTAGACCTTCCATCTACACTGAGATAAGTTCTGAAGGGGAAAAATAAGAATCTGGAAACTTTTAAAGCAATTTCATAGACTAGTCTTATGCCTGTTGAATCAAATAGTAATTCATAAAAACTGGGGCCTGTATTGTGTACCTCTTTGTTATTTTGTTTCTAGTATTTTTTATTGTATTTTACAAAAATGTTGATCTGTAATGAGTTGAAAAGAAAAAAACCCAGTATAGATAGTTTGAGAAGTGTTATCCTAGACGATGTCTTACAAGTGGCTGAGAGAGGGCTCATCCAGGGGGCTGGAAGTCCTGCTCCCAATTTCTCTTCTAACTCTGCACACACCTGAGTCTCATGTGCCATGGAAGGAAGCCAAGACTGTATGTATTTGACTGTTAGGGGACATAGGAGGTATCTGGATGGAGACTCCATGAGTCAGCTGTGGAACTACAGCAGAGTGATCCCGCTGCTAAAGGGCAGGTGGCTTAACCAGAGCTGGAGGAAGGATTTAGCTGATACTCACAAGCTCACAGTGCCAGTGAGAGCCGAGGTGGGATGGAACCAGCATGAGAACAGCCCATGAGTCCACTAGACCCAGACTTCATTCTCACAGGACAGCCAGAGACTGGCAGTTAGGATATTCCTGCAGAAGTCAGTGCGGATCGAAAGGTCATTCATTCCTGAAATCCCTGGGCATAGCCCTGAGATGCCTTCTAACCCAAAAACTCCATGGTCTTGAAAATTCCTGACATATCCGAAACCATCTTGGGAATGCAGGTGGAGAAGAGTGAAAGGACTAACGATTTACTTCAAAGTGACTGCCCCAAAGAAATGATATACTTCAATTCAACAGTCACATTGTTCTCATTACCCAGAAGTGTGGTAGCTTGAGAGCGAAATTAGATAAAATGTAGGAAATAAAGAAATTACATTTTTTTAAACCTGACTGGTAGTGCATGAATTATTAGCCCTGCTGTACACTCAATAAGTGGTGACAATAAAAACCATGCCTGGCATGTAGTGCACTATTAATAAAGGCTTGCTGAAATATTAGGAGGAACTCACAAGAATATTACATCTCAAATATTGGCACACAAACAGAGTTAGGATGTACAGGACCTGTAGAGGCTCTCTCTACTTGCAGGATGGCAGAATCACAACTTTATTGCCCAATATTTTAAGTGAAACAAAAGAATTGTGTAAGAGTCATAGCCATGTTGATTGTCAATAACGTCCTGAATACATGATCAGATAGAAAGTTCTCCAAGTCATGGGAATGGGCCTTAGGAGAGAGGATTTGAAATTTATTCACTTTTAGATTTGCTGGGCTTCCCAAAAAAATGGGATACAACAGGTCGTGGTGATCTGTCCCTGAACTCTACACAGAGACTTCATCTTAGCAATCCCAAGCCCTCTCTCAGGTATTACCTGTGACTGTTGATGACATCTAGTAAGTAATGATCACTAGTCATTTTTTTTCAGTAAACACTTATAGCATCCTACTTAACTTCTGGGTGCTGAGGCCTTAAAGATAATTAAAGTTGATTTTTAAATTTAAAGAGCATTCTTCCCACTCAAGGAGATCACACGGCAGTGGGAGAAACACAAGGGTAAACTGAGAGACCAAGCTGTGATCATTTGCATAATGGCAGAGAAGGGAGCTAGAGAGGAATGGATGTGGGGACATGGCTAACCTTTTCTAAGCTTGCTCAGGGGGGGGGTTTCCTGAGAAGGCCTAATTGGATTCTTTTAGCCTGAGTCCTGCATAATTCAGAGTTCACCAAGGGTGGATGGTAGATTCAGGCATACCAGAGGATGGAAGCAATGAGGAGAGAAAAAGCTATATGTTTATTGGCAGTAGAACTGACCGGCTGGGGGAACTTGATGTTTCTGTGATTGGAGCATGAAGCATGAGTGTGTTAAGCAAAGGAACAGAAAAAGTCTGCAGGATCATATTATGTGTCATGGAAGGGTTTAAAGATGGAATCATCTGCCTGGATTTCGTCTTGGAAATTTTGTTCTAGGAATTAGATAGCCGGTAGAGTGGAGGGAAAAGACTGAAGATTGAAGAATGTAAAACCAGCTTGCAAAAGCCCTGGTGAGAGATGATAGTCAAGATCTTCCGATTGCCCAAGTCAGACTCACTCAGATCTTTCTGAGAAAAAGGGGATCTCTTCACGTGCAAACTGGACATAGAGATCATCAGGACTGGTTAATCTCAGGTCTGCCACATGAATTCAATGTCATAGAGAGTTTCTGCTTCTCTCTGTGGTTATACACCTCTGCTCCGGAAAAACTAAAAAACTGAGCGAATGGCCCTTTCTCTCAGTTTTTTAATTGCAAACCCTATAAGGTATTTGGCGTATTAGTATTGTCCTTACCAAGATGAACTTTATGGGAATGTCTATTAATTTGGTTCCCTTTTGGTTCTGGAGCCCAACACACAGATGATTTTAGGTTTTATTCTATGGCACTAGAAATGTCACACTCATTTGGGTGCTACTATTTTATTAAATGAAGGTATACTTGCATAATCTTTTTGTTTTTTAATATCTGATTCTTTTCACTATCTGCACATCCTAATCAAAGATGCAGTTTTCGTTCTCAAAATGCCTTCTCTTATTAAATTATTTTTAAACATTAAAAGAAATGTGTGTGTCCCAGATCAAATAGAGAGCCTATTAGAAGAGTTGAGTAGGATACAAGGAGAGATGTATGTTCTAACATTTCTATCTTCTGCATCATTTGTAAATCTTTTTTTCCACATTGGCCATGTCCAGTCTAAACCTTTGGCAGCATAGAATGATGTCTACAACACCAGTCTGTATTGGTCACATCCTCTTGTTGTAATGTAAGGTACCGTAAAGCTCAGAATGTGCCTACGTAGGTAAAATCCTTTTCCTTTTCTTCCCCTTCTTTCCCTTCCTTTCTCATCCTGATCTTAGAATAAGTTTGGCTAGATCTTTTCAAATTATGTTTTGTTCTCCTTGGTTAAGCAAATGTAAAATTCATGTCTACTTATTCCCAATAAGCTCTTCCCCAGGACTCCTGAGACACCTCCTATAAGTTCTTTTTGATATAATCCTTCTTTCCCCATACTCTGATTTTGAATATCACTGGATCTAAAGTTACTTTTGAATCCTCATGATGAACCTGCCTCTCATTCTACTCTTGGCGGGAACAGATAAATGCAGAGATGTAATTCAGAGGGACCCAGGAGTTGGGAAATCCAGGCTTCTCTGGCTCCTCTCAGATGGTTCCAATTGCTAGTTTGACAGTCTTTGCCAAGCAGGGCATTAATTTTAACCATAGAAACCTGGCAAGTCAGACAATTCAGCTTGACATTGCAATTCAGCAGTGGGAACTATTAGTTTTGGATCTGATTTTAAGTGGTCTCAGAATAACAGAAAGGGTTTCCTGAAGCCAAGTCATATGGTGGCCCTGTGTTTCCTTATCTGCCTTCAGCCAGGTTACCTGGGACCAGAGCATGTGCTTCTCTACTGCAAACCATCTAATCCTATGAGAGGCTGTTGTCCAGCTCTGGTGTTAGTGAGTTTTATTTCCCATTTTGCTTTCTTATTTCTTTATCTCCAAACTAATGCATGTACATTTTTGGAGGAAAGAAAAGAAAATACAAATAATTTGAAAGATCTTAAGATCTTAAAGGTCTTTTGTATTTCCACCAAGCAAAAGCAACCCCTTTAATAACTTGGTGCCTATCCTTCCAGAAGAGGCAGTGCAGGGAGAAAGACACAGAGGGAGGGAGAATTTTACTTGCATTTTCTATTTCCTTGGAATTGCTCCAAAGCAAAAGCACCAAAGCCCTGTTTTGGCCAGGACAGTATCCACTTTATCTTGGCTGCACATGGGTAGCTTATGCTCCACTATTCAAGGGATTGTTCAACCTTCCATAAACCTGCAAACAAACTCACACCCCCTCTGAGGAACTAGGACTGCAGAGCTGCTCTTGACACTGCCCCCACCCCTACCTGTGTTAGCTACATCTTTCTGGTTGCAAGGCATAGAGACTAATTTTCTTAGTAAAAAATGTGTGTTTATTTATGTATACTTGTGTGCCAGATTAACAATAAGCAATCTGTCTATGCTTCAGCACCTCCAAGGGCCAACCTCTCCCTCTGTTTTTCTCACACCAAATCCTTGGCTTCACTCAGCATGTCTGCTCCACTCTCCTTTTTCGAAGGATAGATCAGCTCCCTAACCCCCATTCCATATCCAAATTATGGAAGGAACTAATCTGCTAGATGCTGCTGTCTCTGTTTTACAGAATTTTATGAGTTAGGCAACCTCAGTAATCACTGGACAGACCCTTGGGTCAGGCATTTGCTCTGAACCATTGAGTGGTAGCCCTTGTTCAAAAAATGGATTAATGCTTCTTTCCTAAAGGAGCACGGTAGGAAAGGCTTGGGTGGGTGCAGTAGGCAGCAAGACCAGCATGTTAATAATGAGGCTGCCAATAAAATAACTGGTAAAGAACAGGAGGAAGGTATTTGACTTAAAGTTATTTAAACGTTGAAAATGACAAGATAGAACTAGTGATTTATTATTAAACTCTCAGTTTTCTGGCTTGGATGAATGGGTTAGATGGGGTTCCATTAAGAAAGTCAAGAGATATAAAAGAGGCAATTAGTTTTGGAATTTATATCTGGGCATATTTAGTTTGAAGAATGTGTGGGGCATCTAAGAGATGATATCTCTTTGCAAATGCTGCTACAAATCTGGAGCTGAGGGTAGTGATCTGGCTGGAGATTAGACTTGGGTGTCATTACACATAGATTGCAGATCTCAATCTGTTGCTTGAAAACCTCTGCTTTCTCTAACCTGGAATTAGGCTAGATGCAAGAAGATGATGGCAAATTGAGCTTTGGAGGGAACACTATTCCTTTGTAGAGATATTTCATCTCATCAGATTTGTAAATTAATTACATGAAGAGTAAAAAATCAAGCATCAATACCTTCATAAATTTTTTAAATAAGACTATTATGGTCCACTATGATTCTTAATGGAATCTAAGACAATCTGGCTACTAGGATAAGGCAAAAAAAGGTAATGCTTATGAATTACAGCTGCCATTGAGATGTATCATGGTGAAAAAGCAGGACACATTATGATGCTATGCAATGTGAAAATCTGTACTGAACTTGGTGGAGGTTGGCATGAAGTGACTCTTCTTGGCAAAGAGGGTTTAAAATGTCCTTCCCCTAGCCACAGGGCACAAGAAATTAATTATGTCAGGGAAACACAGCTGCCAAGGAAAATGCAGATCCAGTGCTCAGGTTACAGAGACAGAGAGCTACAGTACCACCCAGCCATTCCCATTGACCAATATAGGAGGCAGTTTGCCAATTTGTAAGACAGCTTTGTAAATATGTGGTCCCCCAAGACTCTGTTTTGAACAGTATGTAAGCGGAGACTCAGAAGCAAAGCCTGAATGATTGGATGAAGAAAGACCTTAAAAAAAGATACAAATACTACACAGACATCTGTGTTTTTTGAAAACTTAAGCTAGAAACTCCACAAAAGCACAAAGATGTTGTCAGAAGTAAGTCGAGATTTTGCAGTGCCTTCCTCTCTTCCATCACCACCACCATCATCACCAATGTAGAATGGGCTTTGAAATGATACAACTCTGGTTTTTAAATTCCAGTTTTTTATTTACTATGTGTCTGACTTTGGACAAGTTCTTAAACTTCATCTGTAGGATGAGGATGTTGCTTAGCATTGTTGCACAATGGAAATAATGTGTGCAAAGTACCTGGCCCAGGGAAGGTTTTGAAATGTTTGCAATTTTTTCTTTTTTCAAATTTGTATAAATGTAAGGGTTACAAGTGCAGTTTTGTTACAGGGATATATTTTGTAATGGGAAAGTTTGGGCTTTTGATGTAACCATCACCCCAATAATATACATTAGACTCATTGTTTACAATTATTAATCCCAAAAACCTTTGTTAATAAATGCAAAAATACCTGTAAGAAATCCTCTAGGTTCCCTTATAAAATTATTCTTCTCAATTTATTTTTCCTTAAGTTTGGAAATCTGTCAACTCTAAAATCTTTTCTATGAAGATCATTTAGGTTTTTAGGAGTCTTGCCCAATTATTTGAGGAGGATTTATTGCAGTTTTGAGAGATACATAGAATGGCTTGCCTTCTTCTCTAAATTGTAAGCAAATTTCAGATCTAAAAACATGTTGAAGATTCTATTTTATGTATGAACCCGGCTATTACTTGAATGATTCAGAGACCTCAGTTTCTGCATGGCATCTGAAGGGACTTCAGGAATTCGAGGTTGGTGGATGATTGTACCATCATCACTGCGTATTTGGGATTTTTGTGCTATTATACCGAGGGTTGTATAGCATCTTCCTAGCAACTTCTTTCTAGTTTATTGCCACTATTGCAAATGTCAGATCTCAAGACTTTTGAGTGTTGGGCTTTTTATGAAGCCAGTAGCCAGTCTAAAATAAATTACTAGACATATGCTGATAGCAGAAAATGACCATAGAGTTATTTTCCCATTTACTCTTTATTGTTATATTTAAAAAGTGAACTTCTGTGAACACTGACATGGTTGCCATGTATTTTTTTTGGTTCTTGCTTGTGGCTTGCTCTGTGAATAGCCTAAAAACTATTTCACTAGTGGTCATCTACGTTAGCTAGAGGGTAAATTCCCTAAGGACATAGACTGATAGCAAATTTGCTCAGCGTGGGGAGAAGAGAAATCACTAAATACATTTTGTTGAATTAACCCAACTTAGTGAATTCATAATAAAACAAATGGCAACATTTTATAGCACCAGGAAATATTGTCAGATGAAGTTCTTTCTGACAAAATCTGGGGTGATATGAAAAGTAACTTATTCTCCCAAGACAACTGGCATCTTTTCTCTGAGACTCACTAGGCTTTGAGGATATGCTAAGATGGAGTTTGAGGTTTGGGAGAGGCTCCTCTTGGCACATAGAAACTGAAGTGCATGTGTGACTTTCTTCCTACTCAAGTGTATTGAGTAAAGAAAAATATTATCTAAAAATTGATGTTGGCTCACTCTGACTTAGCAAACACAATCTTGGATTTGTATGGACACGTAAAGCTTTGGTAGCCACATATAGTTGATGACTGACTTCCTTTGGCCTGCCACCTGACTTTCTTGACCCTGACGTAGACACAGAGGAAGGACTAGGCTGTCTTTATATTATTTAAAAGAAAACTGAAGAGTCAACCGAAACAAAGCAGCTGGAGCAGAAACTCATTACTGGGTAGAGAGGTTGAGGACACACTTAGCTGAGTTTGAAATCTACAACAAAGTTGAAGGCTCAGGGTGGGCTGCAAAAAGATAACTCTCTCCTCCAGGTTGTAGAGATTTTTATAGTAGGGAGAGAAAATTGATGAATATGAACCCTGTCAGCAGTAATTAACAGCTCCCAAATGTGGTAAACTGGGCTTCCAGTTGCCTTGGAGGTAATGTCTGACACAGAGATGACAAGAGATGCAAGTTTATAAATATCAAATCTAAATTAAGTAGACATACTGAGAAGATAATTTTCCCTCTGTTTTTGCTTTGTGTTTTTGGTTATGATCCATTTCATTAACCTGAACTTCAAGTTTACACCATGGTACCCAACCATGATAAAATCTAGGGATATAATTGTCAAGAAAGAATGACTCATCTGTTTTCATTACCCATTCATTATAGGGCCCTTCTTATTTTAGAATCCATTAAAAAATTACAGTAGCTAGTTTATAGAACGTATTTTATAATACTAACTATAATCATTGAATTTCTAGTGTTTTTAGAAGGAGTGATGGCTGTGTACTACTCTGGTTGAATTTGTTATAAAAACATTGACTTTACTTAGAGGTTATGGACTTTTCAAATATTTTAAAATAGTATTCAACAACAGACTCATTCAGTTCCAAACAATTACCTCAGGCTTCCATTCCCTGCATTCCAGGCAACCACTTTTGAGTAGCCCATTTGTCTCCCGGAGACTCTGGTATTTTCCTTCTTCTCTTTTCTTCCATTCTCTTTGTGTTCCCATCCACCCCCAGGAAATTGGGTAATTATTACACTTTATCCCTTTCCTTCATCCACTGATCCAGGGATTTGCGCTGCATTGCAGATTTTATAACAGGGAAAATAAAAAGTGTTGGTTCTAGAATAAGAATGAATGATTCTATAATGAGAAGAGATGGTTTAGGCTACACTTTGTCTTTCTCGCTGCGACAGCATGCTCACTATGCACAGGATCATGGAAAACAAAATGAAATATAACATGACACTTTGGCAATTTATTTAATTTTGTGTATTAGAACAAAACCGAGAACAATGTGAATTGAAAGCCAGTCTTCAAGAGTTTCTAAACATTTGGCATCTGCCTCCTTGTCAATAATATCCTAATGAGCACTTTTGTTCTGCTTTACAAACCTTGTCTAAGTCATTGTCTAAGTCTGTTTTGTGCTGCTATAAATTACTAAGATGGGGCAACTTATAATGAACAGAAATTTATTGGCTCACAGTTCTAGAGGCCATGAAGTCCAAGACTGAGGGGCTGGCATTTGTTAAGGTCTACTGTTATGTCATCTCATAGTGGAAAGGCAAAGAGAGGTTGAGAGAGTACAAGAAGAGGCTGAACCTGTCCTTTCATGAGGAACCAACTCCTGCAATAACGAGCCCACTCATATGATCAAAGCATTAGTCCATTCATGAGGACAGAGCCCTCATGGCCTAATGTCCTCTTAACAGTTCCACCTCTTAATAATGTTACAGTGGTAAGTTTTCAATACATGCTTTATGCGGGACACATTCAAACCATAACAGTCATACACAATACAAAGTATGGGATGGGAAAGTACAATTGTCCTCATTGCTTAGGACAGGAATAAAAAGTTTCAGGTCAGGTGGGCGAGGTGGCTCATGCCTGTAATCCCAGCACTTTGGGAGGCCAAGGCGGGTGGATCACAAGGTTAGGAGTTCAAGATCAGCCTGGTCAAGATGGTGAAACCCCGTCTCTACTAAAAATACAAAAAAAGTAGCTGGGTATGATGGCAGATGCCTGTAATCCCAGCTACTTGGGAGGCTAAGGCAGAGAATTGCTTGAACTCAGGAGGTGGAGGTTGCAGTGAGCCAAGATCTCCCCTGCACTCCAGCCTGGGTGACAGAGTGAGACTCCATCTCAAAAACAAAAACAAAACAAAACAAAAAAAGTTTCAGGTCATGCAGCAAATGGTAGAAAGAGGATTCCATTCATCCCCAAATCAAGTGACAGGCTGTTCAGCTTTCAAACCACTAGGGCATATGCTTATTTGACTGTTGCGTTTTTATCTTATCATGATCTCTTAATTCAGGACAAATTACTTTACCACCTGAGCCTACGGTGAAAAATCGAAAGTATAATTCCTGCTATGCTACTCTGCTGCTCTACAAGTAATTAAGTGAATTGTAAGTATTTTCTAAGATGTATTTTACAGATTTTGACTCATCATTGAATTAGACATTTTTAAAGCTTAAATCCAGTGCACCAAAAACACAGGATGAAGAATTTACAGAATGAAGGAAAAAATGCAGTAATAAGTTTAAGTTCAAAGAAGTTAATTCTATTTTTGACATTAGGAATGCTCACATTCAAGACCCTTTTTGGTTAGGTCAAAAGGTATGAAACATTGAGATCATATCTTTACATTAATAATGTGAACCTGCAAAGTTCAGCTATTAGAATCAAACACATTGAAGAGGTGATCTCTTCTCTGTGAAATCTGTCTAACCTATATCTTTGCAATCTCAATAAGGAACTGACTTTCAAACCTTGTAACATGATCTTATAAACACAGGCATTCAGAATGCTGCAATATGGTACTTCAAGGATTTGAGCTTTTTGTGGCCAATCTATCACTAATTATGTGTAATTAAGGAAAGAAAAATATAGTGCTACAAAATTGAATGCATATTTTAAAAAACAGATGCATATTTTGTCTGGGAATTTTGCTGGCATTAATATTTTTGGAAATGATATTATAATAGCAAGTAAATTATAGATCATTTTATTGAAAGACAGAGTGAGTGTCCTTAGATTCCAAAGACTCTTTCAAACTTCTATTTTCCTATCAAAATCAGTCATCAGAAAAATTTTTGGATAAATACTTTCAATGTAATGAGAGCATTAGAATCCAGGAAAAGAATGGTGTTTAAAAACATATGAGCCAGGCATGGTGGCTTTTGCCTGTAGTCCCAGATGCTTGGGAGGCTAAGATGGGAGGACTGTTTGAGGCCAGGAGTTTGAGGCAGCTTGGGCAGCACAGTGAGACACTGTGTCTAAAAAATTTTTCTTTAAAAAAGAAACACTTCTTTAAGAAAGAGTGAAGGGGCAGAGCTTTATTTTGCGTTGGGAATGGGAATTGTGGACAAACTGTTGTTTGGTTATCTTTGCAGCAGCTTAAGTGCTGTGGAAGAAAGATGAGAAATTTCCCAAGTATTTCATACGGGAGCACTAAATACAGATAAAAGATCTTATCTCAATTCAGTTAAATCCGATCTTGAGTGACGTAACAGTATACTAGATTTTGTGGCATTACAGAAATATTAAAAAAAAGTCTCGACACTTGAAGAACTTACAATCTTATCACATAGACAAGCATATTAAAAACGTGTTCCATAGCCAAGGATAATGACACAAACTCCATTTGTATTCAATAGATATTGGATTCCATTCTTCACAATGTTTAAGTTACTCTCGGTGAAGTGCAGTGAGAGCCACTTAATTTCCTTCCTGCAACATCTAAGTGTCCGAGGCTAACTTTGAGGGCCAAACACCCAGTTCTCTTCATTTTTTTCCCGTTTAAAAAGTTGTCATTTTAATTGGAAAATATTTACCATCTACGATAAGCTTCTGAGCACTGGGATTGATTTTTAGCCATTTCTGATTCCTACTAAATACTCTGTACACTGAGCAATGCACTAAATGTTCAATAAATTTCCTAAGAAGAAAATAAAATTTTTGTATAAAAGAATGAAGGAGATAACATCTTAGTCACACACACACACACACACACACACACACACACACAGACAATTAAATGTATAGTTAAAAAATTTGAGAACTTGGCTAAAAACCCCAGGTCCACCTCTTACTAGCTGTGTGATCTTAGACAATCTTAGGACTATGATTGTAAAAGGATTGTAGGTTGTTCATTCACAAAATAACAAATGTAAGGATAGATCCTTGAGATAATCTTGTGTGGGTTAGATTACATCATATATGTGAAGTGCCTACAATAAGTTCTTGCACATAAGTGCCCAATAATTATTAACTATATTGTTAGTTGTACTTCTCTATATCTTAAAAGATTTTACACAACTAATACTAAAAACAGATATAATGAAACCAGAAGAAAAGAGATAAGAATCAGGCTATAAAGTTGACACCTAATTTATTCCAATTCTTTGACCAAATGTGTGAAACTGGTTTGTAGCTCTTAAAAGATGCCCAAAGTCAGGTAGTATTTCATGGAAGAAGATACTGCATATGTATGAATTTTGTTAATATTTATTTTTTATATCATTACTTTGGGGATGTGACAATATTATAAAACAGATACCTGGCAAAACTCAAAACACCATTGCAAAGAGATTAGAAAGAGTTGATCCAGGTGCTTCGTTAATAGCAAATGAATCTGAATAGCAGTTGACTTAGATTTTTATCAAGTCATAGTAAATGGCATTCTCTAGGAATCCAGAAATATGGTCCTAAAACATGGTGACTTGGTAACTAACAGATTTTAAAAAATTATTATGGTGAATGAAGAAGCTTCTCTTCTTTTAAATTTTAAAATTTTTTCATCACCTCAAGTCTGAAGAAGCTTCACTTGAGTTGTTTAGCTCAGTAAAATTATGCTTTTTGCCCTGCAACTGCTTACCATCAAAATTGTCCAAAGATTCTAAAGCCTGCTGTATTTAAAAATCTACATTAAGTCACTGGTTTATTAATCTTTTAGTTAGCTATGCTATGAAATGTTAGCCCAATTTCTCAGTCAAACTGTTTTTAATCTGTGAGACGATGTCATTTCCCCCATCTATGCCTCTTCTAAGGTCATAAAATTTGGTTGAATTCATACCCTTTGCTAAAGTTATGATCCAGCCAGTTACTGAGCATTTTCTAAATTAGGAATTATCTATAACTTTAGTGCTTCCCTTTCATGAAAATCCCCCATTTTTCATGGTTTAAAATTAAGTCAGTACTTCAGACATGGTACCTGGTGAGCCAGCTGGTTTCTTGGACTCCTGTAATAAATTATTTCTATTGTTCTCCAGGCCTCAGATCCAGTGTTCTCTTGGGATCTTGCTAAGTACCCATGTTATCTCCTAATCCTGGCTGGTTGCCAACTCACAGGCATTCGTAGCCTATTTCAATCTGGCTTTCACATTTGCTCTTTACACACCCAAGTTGGCCTTGTAACACTGCCCAACCGAGGTAAGGAGGAGAGAATCACACCAGTTGCACAGTCCTGTAGCCCAGAGAGTCTCTGAGATCTTATTGGAGTCTGTAAGTTCACAGCACAACTCAAGGATGATGGCAGTCTTCCACCCACATTATTATTGCCTTTCCTGTGCTCTGGGCTTGGAAGTCTTGGGCTGACTCTTGTCTGAATCATTACTCAACTTATAACCATGCCCAGTGCTGTGTCTCAGCTGCTCAATGGCATCTCTGAATTTCTACATTTAGCTCTGAGTAAGACCAGTTCCCTTGGGTCCTTGCTGGTTTGTTGTTTGGGTTTTCAGCCAGTCCCAGGATTTTCCAGAGTGAGCTGGCTTATCATGACTTGTGCTTCGATACCAGAAAGGAAAATAGCCAACCATCAGGTCGGGGTAAGGAGTTAGGGAAAGCATTTTAGACCTCCCTGAATGGCTGTGTGAATTAGGGTTATGGTTGGATAGGATGTTGAAATGAGTGACAGAGCATTCTAAGTGGACGAACCACATGAGGAAAGGCAGATAAATAGTTTTGATCTTTTGCTAAAGGAAATCAAGCAGAACAATTTGCCCGCGGGCTTCAATTTGGATTTATGAAGTTTAATAAAAATTCACAGGAAATTTTGAATGTAAAAATCAAGAATTTGACATTATGTTATTCTTCCATGAGGAGCCATTGAATGTTTTTAGGAGGCAAACATTTATTAAGGGTATTTAGTTGGTTCTAGAGAACAAAGAGTAAGACCTGTATGTAGTGATTGTACTCCTTTTCCAGTAGGAGAGGCAGATATGTAAATGAATAATTTTGATGTTCAGTTGAAGATTTTTTAACAAATGCAGTTTGGTCCAGAAGTTGGTTTATTAACCCAATTATAAAATTTGGTTATAGGAGGGAATTTAAAAATACCTTTTCATACTTACATTTAAAACATAAAATTGTGACCTCATTCACTGATCTTTTGATATAAGTCAAGGCCTTTTCTTTGGGTAAAGATCTTCTGCTTATAATTATGCATTGCTTTTTTTTACATATACCACATAATGCATGACATATGGTTTAATGTTTTTATTTTTCAAAGTGGAGTGAAAAATCAAAGAAACTTGCAAAGTAATGAGTGAAGACTGTACTGGGTTGGTATTAGTTTTATAAACTAGTGTTTTAGTTATCTTGCCAACATTTAATTTAACAGTGTTATTTTTAGCAACTCACCTTTATTCAGTTTTTAAAAATATTCACGTGCATTTTCATAGAAACAACCCTTGTCACACTTTTCAAAATCACATTTAGAATATAATTTAATTATATCATTAAAACAGTAAGGACAACTGGTTTGGGAAGAAATGTTACCAACTTTTTGGTGCCAACTTTTCGGTGCACATACAAGTCAACTGGCAGAAAGAGAAGCTCTTGATTATGCTGGACAGCTAAAAGGTGAGAGAGTCTAGCATGCTTTGGGCATCAGCCATTGCATTTTACAAAAGGAATGGATGATATAATTGTAGTTTAGGTACATTAATTGGAGTTTCATTAAGAAGAGTTCTTTGCTACCAAAACTGAGGCACGCACAGATGTCATGGGAGGACAGTCTAACAGCAATTAAGTATTTATGAAATCAAGTAGGGCCCAGATCAGAACCTTGGGAAGCACCAACTATGGGATGAAAGATTTAAAATTTGACTATCTTGATGAGTGTAAACAACCGCAAACTTACACTCAAAAATCAATTCATAATTGATTTCAGGAAAACTGAAATAGAAGTGGAAGAGACAAAAAAGGGAGTCAGGGAGCTATTAAAGAAATATCTCTTCAATTTCACCATTTTACTCAGGATCAATTCTTCTCTGAAGCGCAGAAAAATACATGGAGGTAATTTAAACATAAATTATGTGTTTAAATTCTTTTTTTTCAGTTACAGTTTCAAGTTTATTAACAAAGATGGAAGGAATGGAGAAGAAGATGGTTGATAAGGACATGTTTTTCAGAAAGGTAAAAAAAATAAGAAAGTTTCTTAGAATGAATGTGGCACTAATAAAAAGTATAATATATAATAATCGTGTAGAACATTGTAGAAATTTTCAAAAATTCTGCAACAGTAGAAAACTGCACACATATATCAGCAAATAAAAGCTAAAAGTCATACATAATTCTACCCAGAGATGATCTGTGTTAAATTTTATCTTATATTACTTTTTAGTAGTATGTATACACACACACATAAATGGGAACGTACTAAAACATCTTTTTTTTTCACTTAACAATATACTGTGGTCATTGTTCATGACATTGACTTTTTTTATTTTTCTAGTCGGTGGTATTGGCTGTGATTGTAAGTAATTACTAAATTTTAGTGTTGAGAGTAACTATTCTTGTTCTCATCTGGTTTGTCATTTTAATAGCACAGTGGTTGCTGTAGACTTCAGGAAGCTCTTTTTTAACAGATAAAGAGAAATTCTTGTTTATTTTTGCTTTGGGCTTTTTTCCTTTATTTCATTTATATCAGCAATGGGTATAGAATTGTATCAATTTTTTTTGGCATCTATAGAATTGACCACACAGATTATTTCCTTTAACTGGTAGTTAGAATGAAATACATGGATGAAAACTTCCTCTTTCCCTCCTTTCCTCCCTCCCTCCTTCCCTCCCCCTTCCCTCTCTTCCTCCCTCCCTCCCTTCTTTCCTCCCTTCCTTCCTTCCTTCCAGTTTAATTTTCATTCTATTTGAAATATTATTTTTCACTTTCCCAAGTAATATATTAACATAGTTCGAACTCTAAAAAAAATCTTTACAAGGTTGGTATTGAAAAATATCTCCTTGAAGCCCAAATATCCTAGTCCTGTGTTCCCTTTCACAAGCTCTCTTGGCTATTTCTTTGGGCATTTACTTTCTTATATTTTCTAATGCTGTTTTTTAACTGTCAATTTTAATTACTATGTATTTCTCTCTTATCAAATGAAGATTTAGCATTTTTACCTCATCTCATACTTCCTCTTTACCTATTGTTTTAATATAATGTTTTTACATTAGTTTTGTTGAATTCATGGTCATTATTTATATTGCTATGACTATGTTATTGTTGCTCAGAGCTGAGTCAAGTAGCATAGTTAAATTTTCTATTTTGTGCAATTTTTGTTTTTCAAAAGTTACTTATGATTTTTATTTTTTATTTGCCTAGGTTTACATATCACAAATATTATATCAAACTTTCCAACTGATCAATAAGACACTTTTGAATCTTAGTTTCCCCATGATCAAACAAAACTGATGTTTTATCAATTCTGCCCCTCCCCAGCCCACCCCTAGCCCTTGGAAACATGCGTTCTGTAGCCTTCTATCCTCCTGGCTCCAATGTGTACTAGTTTCACTCTAGAGCTGTTGCACAGTGATCCTGAGCTTCTCCTCTCCTCTGTTCTGGCTTCCTTATTTTGAAGATTCAGTGTCTTCCTGTATTTTAGTTAACATCCTCGTTGTTCAGTAACTTCTTGAGATGATCTGGGAGATCTGAGAATGCTTTTAATATGTTGCTGTACTTGATTGATAGTTTGACATTGATTGATTGATCGTTTGGTTGGGAACAGAATTTTAGCGTGAATAAAAATGTCCTTCACAAATGTGAAGGCGTTGCATTATCATCGTCTATCTTCAGATGTGGTATAGAGTGTCTGGTGATACTCTGATTTCAGATTTTTTTTTTTCTAAAAATCTATTTCTCTCTGACAGCATTTACAATATTCTGTTTATCCCTAGTGCTCTGAAATTTCAGAGATGAGATGTGCATTAAAATAGGCAATGTTTTCTTTTTGCAAATTCATATTCTTCAATTTGAGGAAAATTCCTTTAACCATTTTTTTTTTGAGATGGAGTCTCACTCTGCCACCCAAGTTGGAGTGCAGTGGCAGGATCTCATCTCACTGCAACCTCTGCCCCCCGGGTTCAAGCGATTCTCCTGCTTCAACCTCTTGAGTAGCTGGGATTACAGGTGCACACCACCACACCTGGCTAATTTTGTATTTTTAGTAGAGACGGGGTTTCACCATGTTGGCCAGGCTGGTCTCGAACTCCTGACTTCAGGAGATCCACCTGCCTCATCCTCCCAAAGTGCTGGGATTACAGGGTGAGCCATTGCTCCTGGCCTTACACTAATTTTTGATAATGTCTTCCTATCTTTTTTCTCCACTGTATTCTCCTTGAACTTGGATTTGCCGCATATTTTATCATTCGAACCCACCTTTTAATTATTTTATTTTTATTTTTATGCTACAAATTTTGTATATTTTTATCTTTTTATGTTTTCTGATAGAATTTCTCCACTTTATCTTCCTACACTTCTATTAACTTTTTAATTTTAGCAATGTTATTTTTATTTCCTGTTAAAAGTTATTATCTGATTATTCTTCCTCTGTATTCCATATTTAGGATTTTTTTAACCTTTAAAACAACCCTACCATATTCTCATTTCCTCTGGGTTCTTTTTTTTTTTTTTTTTTTTTTTTTCCAGGAACTGAAAGCTGAGCCAAGTAGTTTGTTTGCTTGGGTCTCTGCCTTTTATAAAATTGGATGCTTTCCTCAAATTTCTGATGATGTTTAAAACTGAATGCTTAAGAGAAAGGTCCTGAACATCCTGATTGGAACCTCTGTGTGTGCTGTTAGAGCTTGCCACCTGATGGCCTTTCTTTGGGAATCTGGTCATTTTGTTGCAGAACTCGTACCCTCTTCATGTCAGTACCTATTTGTCATTTCGCTGCACCAGAGATTTTCCAGAAAACAAACAAAAGTATTCCTCCTCCAGTCCTCCTCCCAGAAGACTATATGCCTGGTGGCTAGTGTTCTTGGAATTGAGGAACACAGAAAGGTTGTGGGGAGGTGTCCCACTGTCCTGAGTGTAGACTTTTAATTATCCCTCTATTTTCACTTCAGCATCTCTTTTCTTCTTTCCATGTTTCTGGTGTCCATGAATCTGGAGCATTTTCTGCTTCTGCTAGAACAGGCTAGGGAAGGCACCATGGTGTTCCAGAATGTAGAGAGAATATGGAGTGCAACATACATGCTTTCAGGAATGAACACAAGAGCCCCTTCCACTCTCCTTTGTAGTAAGGGGCACATTCAGGTAATGAGCCCATCTGGGATTGCCAGGCAGGCTCCCTTTTGGCACTTGGCATTCACCTTTCTATACTCCACTAACTCTTTCAAATTCTTTTTATCTCTCCCATATTTGAAATCACGTTTCCACTTTTAAGTCCTTGCCACTCTCTTTTTGTTAAAAAAACTTTTAAAAAGTCTTTTTAAAGTTTAAATACCCACACACACACAAACAGAAGAGAACCTAATTTCAGTGTGGTTAGATCTAAAATTTTAAACTAATTTCAGTGGGGTTAGGTTTAAATATTCAAGTGTTTCATTGGCCACAGGGTAATGTACAAAAAAATTGGCCACAGGTTAATGTACAACAGCGTAGGTACAATAAGAGGAAGGAGAGCACCGCCCATAGAGATTCTGATGAGGACGGCATCCCTGAAAATTGGGCAGCATGGTAGCCCTGAGTGAGCCTTGGCCGGTGTCCTGGGTGAAGGACCAGGGTAGATAAGGATAGTGCTTCTGCGTTCTTCAATTCTTCATTTATTCTCGATTTCTAAGAGAAGTTTACATCAGGAGACATAATGAAGAGAAATATATGAAAAGGAGTGACTGAACTATTAAAATTAGAAGTTTCAAACTGCTAAAAGCAAAAAGGAGTGCAATTAATAGATGCACAGGGCCAAGAGGCTTAAATCAACTAGGACTGTTTCAGAAACTGGAATCTATGTTCACCCTAATTAACATCCTCTGTAGCAAGAAGTCTTAACCTACCTTGACGGGAAGGAGAGTTTCAAAATTAAATGTGATTTATTGACAATGAATTTCTTTTCAGCACTTCTACCTCTGAAGTAGTTTTCTATGGAAATTTATGACTTTATATTAATTATCAAGTTAAGAGTCGGCCTATATATAAAAAATCTTGAGAATTATTTTATTTAACACATATTTCTTCCATATCCCCCAGGAGAAAACATCTAGCAATTTCTTTTTTGTGTTTTTATTTTTAAAAATAGACTCCCTTTTATATACACACATATCTAGGGATTTCTAAAAGAAAAACTCAAATCATAAATTTCTGGGACCTTATCTATTCTTTCCTTGGTTATCAGAACATTAAATGTTAGATGATTCTTTTTTTTGAAGTAAAGAAAAGGGTGGACTTTAATGTTTATTTACAGGACACTGTGTGACATGAAATTCCACATAGAAATAAGAAACCCATTCAGAGGACAATTGAAGAGATTGTGTACCTCATTCATTGTGGCATAATAGATGACTTTTTTTTTTTTTTATAAAGAAATACTTCTCTACAGACACTACTGGTAGTACAACTATTTTAAAAGTATAAAATGTCCTCCACAATATAAAGAGAACTAAAACATTATTAATTGCTAACACAAAGGCCCACTACAGGCTGGGCGCGGTGGCTCATGACTGCAATCCTAGCACTTTGGGAGGCAAAGGCAGGCAGATCACGAGGTCAGAAGTTCAAGACCAGCCTGGCCAACATGGTGAAAGCCCATCTCTACTAAAAATACAAAAATTAGCCGGGCGTGGTGGTGTGCACCTGTTATCCCAGCTACTCAGGAGGCTGAGGCAGGAGAATTGCTTGAACCTGGGAGGCGGAGGTTGCAGTGAGCCGAGATTGCGCCACCGCACTCCAGCCTGGGCGACAGAGTGAGACTCCGTCTCAAAAAAACAAAACAAACAAACAAAAACAAAGCCCATGAACATGTTGCAAAAGAAACATGGAGAATGCTACAAGATCTGTTTCTCCTTACAATGTATTCATATGCTAGATATTCTTTCAAGAATTGTGAGATGACTTGTTTAGAATTTTACATAGTACATCACTTACAATGATGTGCTGGAATGTATAACCCCAACTCTTCCATATATTCAATATAAACAATCCAACAAGCTGCTCAAATTCCTTCCATGGCTCTGGTTGTAAATGGACAGTGATATATTCAGATTGGAATGAAGCTGTGGGCTTATATGGCAGGCTGTATATGAGACAAGCGGCCAAAAAATGTTACCAGGTTTTATTATACTTGCTGCAAAGTTGAGAAGCAAAACTGCAAGCCTTAAAAAAATTGTGAGACTCAAATCTCCAAATTGCTGATGCTCCTCACCAGAACTGAAAAGATTAGAATGCCTTCTTGAGGCAATAGATAGTAGTTTGGTCAGTCCCCATCTCTTGAGGTTTTATTATTAGAATGAAAATAGGAAAAAGGGGGACATACTCTGAATCAGAGAAGGTGGGGAACAATAAGGCAAATGAAAAGGGAGTGCCGAGAAATGAGAGTTTCTTGATTAGTGCAGTTTTGTTTTGATTTAACTAACGAAATCTGGGAAATGCGGTTGTCTGGGAAAAACAAAGGTAGATCCTTCAAAGAGAGTAAGATATGAGTCATTCTTTGCAGGTGAAAGACATACTAACTGCCCCCGCTCCGCACCCTCCAGCACCTCCCAGGTTCACATGGTTTGAGTTGATTTTTCCATTTTCTATGCTGTGCAACATCCAAGCAATGTCTCTTGCCATCGAACTCAGGTAAACTTGAAAGCCTGGCTCCTTGGGGGAATAGATAATGCACAAACGAGTCATTTTGTTTTCTGTGCAGAGCTAATTGACCTACACAGGAAACAAAACTTCAGGGTAGGCTTCATTAACACCATGGCCTAACCAAATGAGATAACGAGTCTAACATAATGATGTTAGCTGGATAAATATAATTTTATGGTAAAGTCTCAATAAATATGAGATTCTTCTTAAAAGCTTTTGTTTTTCCAATCAAAAATTATGATGGTAAAAAATACAAATAAAACAGAGAATATGAAAATATCCCCTTATACCACACCCCAGGAATCATGACTACATGCATACGCTTCTTGACTTTTCTGGATGTAAACTTATAAAAATAAGAGTTTTTTTTTTTTTTTTTGAGATGGAGCCTCGCTTTGTCACTCAGGCTGGAGGGCAGTGGGGTGACCTCAGCTCACTGCTCCATCTCTGGGTTCAAGTGATTCTCCTGCCTCAGCCTCCCAAGTAGCTGGGACTACAGGTGCACACCACCTTGCCTAGCTAATTTGTGTATTTTTGTAGAGACAAGGTTTCACCACATTGGCCAGGCTGGTCCTGAACTCCCGACCTTAAGTGATCATCCTGCCTTGACCTCCCAAAGTGCTGGGATTACAGGCATGAGCCACCATGCCCGGCTGAGATTTGTAAATTTTAACCCATATTGGACCACATGAAACATAATGACCCATGAGATGCTTTTTACTTTTTCTTTTTTCTACTTATTGTAATTCTGAGACTATATTTCCATGTGAGTATAAAAGACCTGTATAATCCTCTTAATACAAACTATGAATGCATCATATTTCATTTCAATAATCTCCTATTGATGTACATTTTGCTTGCTTTCAAATTTTTGAAAAAA
Organism: Homo sapiens; assembly: GCF_000001405.40. Taxonomy (NCBI): domain Eukaryota; kingdom Metazoa; phylum Chordata; class Mammalia; order Primates; family Hominidae; genus Homo; species Homo sapiens. Next base: position 74,219,481 of record NC_000013.11, read on the forward strand.
TAAGCAATTCATATACCTTGTATGTACATCTTTTTATGCTTGTCCTATTTGAGATACATTCCTAAGATTGGAGTTACAGGAACTGTGGGTGAGTATATTCTATTTAAAACACTAAAAAATTTTTTTAGAAAAAAGTTTAAAAAATTGTTTAAGAAATAATTTCTTTAATGTGGGTCTTATTACTTTCTTTCTAAAAATGTCTTTAGCTCAAACTTATTCTTGAATGGTATTTCTGCTGTGCATAGAATTCACATTAGCCCATTGAAGGAAACATTCCGTGGTCTTCTAAGATTGCTGGTGTTGAGGAGTCAGCTGTCAGTGTAATTGTTGTTGTTTGAAGGTAATCTGTTTTTCTTAGCTGCTTCGAAAACTTCTTTGCCTTTGGTTTTCTGCAGTTGTGCTCAAATGTGTCCAGGTGTAAGTTTCTTTTCTTTTAAAACTTCTTTTCTTTTAAAACAATAATTTTAGGATTTTTTTAACCTTTAAAAGTCTAATGTGTTTAATTAGTTTTGGAAATGTCTTAGTCATTATCTCTTAAAATATTGCATCTGCTTCGACTTTTTCCTCTTCTGGAAACTTCTTGCATAACTTCCATGATTTTTTCTTCTGTATTTTCCTACTTTTTGCCTTTTTGTGCATTGTTTTGGTAATCTCTTTTAGTGAAACTTATATGCTAGCAATGGTTTCTTTAATTATGTCCCAGTTGCTGTTAAATTCATGTTTTAAGTTATTAATTTTGATTATAGTATAGAATAATGGCTTTAAATGCTTTCCTTACTTCATCGGATTTTCACATTGTAGATTTTTGTCTTGAAAATAAGGCACTATCCTATTATCTTCCCAAAGCTGTTAAGAGGATGCTTTAAAATTTTTGAGTCTTTGTCTTAATTAATTAATTTCTAAAGCAGTGATTTTATTTATTGTTTTAATTGACAAGTAAAAATTGTATATATTTATGTACATGATGTTTTGATATATGTATACAAAGTGGAATGGTGAAATCAAGTTACTTGACATAGGCATTAGCTCACATACCTATCATTTTTTGTGGCAAACACTTGAAATCTACTCTTTTTAGTTATTTTCAAATGTACAGTATAATGTTGTAAACCATCATCAGCATGATGTACAACAGATCTCTTGAACTCATTCCTCCTAAATGAAATTTTGCGTCTTTCGATCAACATCTCCCTGGTCTACCCAACCCTAGCCCTTGGCAACCACCATTCTCCTCTCTGCTTCTATGAAATCGATTTTTTGCACTCCACATATAAGATCATGAGGTATTTGTGTTTCTGTGCCTGGCTTATTTCACTTAACAGATTGTCCTCCAGATTTATTCACATTGACTCAAATGACAGGATTTTCTTCTTTTTAAACGCCGAATAGCATTCCATTGTGTATATATAATGTCTTCATCAGATGATTTAAAATATTTCATCTCAATTTTTCAGTTGTTCTGATTTGTCTAGCCTGCCATTTATGAAAACATATATATCACTTAGTCTTTTTTGTTTGCTTGTTTGTTTTTTTTTTTTTTTGAGACAGAGTCTGGCTCTGTCGCCCCAGGCTGGAGTGCAGTGGTGCTATCTCGGCTCACTGCAAGCTCCGCCTCCCGGGTTCACGCCATTCTCCTGCCTCAGCCTGCGGAGTAGCTGGGACTACAAGCACCGCCGCCACCACGCCCGGCTAATTTTTTGTATTTTTCGTAGAGACGGGGTTTCACTGTGTTAGCCAGGATGGTCTCGATCTCCTGACCTCGTCATCCGCCCGCCTTGGCCTCCCAAAGTGCTGGGATTACAGGCGTGAGCCACCGCGCCCAGCCATCACTTAGTCTTTTTTAAAAATAAGGTTATACTTTATGTTTTTAATGCTTCCTATGTTTTCTATTTTTTGTTATCTGGTCTATGTATTTTTTTTTCTTTTGAGTCCCTTTCTCACCTCTTTTTGGGTCACTTGGAATTTCTGTAGCCCATATTCTTACCTTTAGTTTTACTTCTATGACACCAAATAATTAATGTAGATCTAATTTCCTTAATATTAACTTTAGAGGGCATCATTAATTCTCTAACATAAAAATGAAGAAATTAGCACAATTATGCCTCCTTACATATTTCTATTACTCTATTTTTTCTTTGTTATTTTTACATTCTCTTGCTCTGTAACACTGACATGCTATTTTATAATTGCTTATTAGACCCAATTTATATGACTTCCTTTTATATTTAAGTGGAGTTAATATGCAATTTGAAGAGAGGCAGTTTTATCTGCTACCATCACCTGAGGGGTGCATGATCTTGGGAAACTGAAGCTTTAGTTTGGGTTTGTTGTTTTAGGGCAATTTCCTACCAAAGTCTACTCTGTGTGAGGACCTTAGAAGCTCACATTTTGGGATGGGCAGATCATACAGGCAAGAAGACAGCACAGTCCATGGTGCAGCCCTCTAGTTCATAGGTCATTTATGTGGCAATTTATCTTTGCTCAATGAACTCTGCTGGCTGGTTTCCTTCCCTTTACCCTACCACACCTGAAAGCCATTTCTCCAGTACTGAATAGTTGAGTGAGAGGAGCTAGATGGTAAAGATGAATGTCTACGTAGGTATTTCAGTTATCCTCCCACCACTTGTCAGTGTTGAATTTGACCCTCACGTTCTCCCTTCCACAGCCATGATCCCAATTCTTGTAGTTTGAGTAAATAAAATAGAAATGTGGTTAGCCTCTTGGGGCACTCTAATTTTCTTTCAGAGGAATCTATACTTCAACCAAGTTCTGGATGGCAGTGAATTAACATTTGGCATTCTCCTCAGGGTGAAAGCAAATGTCTGTATTTTCAGTTTGAAAAATAGTTTATGGTTTTGATTTTCAGATGTTTTGGTAAGTTCCATGGGAAGGAGCAGAGTAAACATGTGAATTCCACAGTCTTTTACAAAAAGCACATGAGTGTGTTTCTGGGATATTTATTTCTATTTATTGATCTAGTCATCAGGGCCTATATCACTACTATACTCCTTTAATTACTAAAAGTTTGTGTTGTCTTTTGTTATCTACAGACCAACTTTATTCCCCTTATTTTACCTTTTTAAAATAGGTTAATTAGGTGCCAGCTCTTATTCTTCCAAAAAAGCTTTAGAATCAGTGGACAATGCTGAAACAGTCATAATAGAATTTTAATTATAAGTGCATTACGTTTTCAGATAACCTGGGAGATATTTGGTGTTCACTCAAATAGTTAATTTAATAGCCTAAATAAAATAATAATGTATAAATTTTTCACTTTTTCCAAAGTGGTCAAATTTATTTATAACTAACTAAAAGGGAACAATAATGTTATTTCATGAGAAGTGATCAAGTTGGTATTGTTCCTTAAAATAGTTTCAGAACCTAGTACAGTGCCTGGCACCAAATACAAACTCAAACAATAGTGGAATGAATCAACAACTGAATTTAATAAAAACAAATCCACTTTTTAGAAATAACATTCTTAGTAAGACTTAGAAAAGAAATTGCTAACCCTTGTTGATTTAAAAAACAAAGTACTTTGAATCAAATGAGCCAAAAAAAGAAGAAAATAAGCACATAATACCCTCACCCTTTTCCCTTCTGTAAACATCTGGATCCTTTTTGTGGCGCTTTCAAATTTCAAAATGGCTTAATTTAGTTGGCTAGGATGTTCTGGATGGAAAACGGGGAGGAAGGGTAACTTATTTTATGAGTAAACAATAGTATTGTAAATAGCTCAATTTTCTTCCTTTGTGGTTTTAACAATACACAATCGGACTCTTCCATTGCAGAGCGTGACTTTGTATGTAGATGGTGAAACCATACATGCTGCAAATAATATCTGGGAGTTTATGAGTAGAACTTTTGTGAAAATCTACTGAGAACCCCCATCTATTGTTTTTAGACTTCTAGTACAGTTTATGTGTCCCAGCATAGTTCAAACGCTTTTGTCTTCATTTACTCTGGATTTCCCAGATCTTCTCCATTACCACAAGACAGCTCCCAGATGATGGGACAAGTATGGTAAAGGATACTCTGCTACATTCAGGGCTAAAGAGCTTGCCATTGAACTGTCTCTGGGACCCAGGGGAGTCTTCCCAGGGATATGACCTGAATGGAATAGAGATGGAAAGTGGACTTCCCTGTGGTCCAAAAAGCTCAGGGCAGTCAGTTCCCACCACTTATGTGTTGGGAAATCAAGGCTGAACTGCATCAATATTAACATATTTCTATTGGATCAATATCAGTAATTTTCCCCCTTTTCTTTCAACTTTGGAGTTTTGCCTTTATGCTGCTGGCTCTGCTGTAATGGTCCTAGTTGTGTGTGACTATCTGGGTGGCTTCCATAGCCCCATGGGTTTGATCATCAGTCATCATGTCTGTATTATTCACAAGCACATATTTCACTTGCTTTAACTTTCCTATATTTTGCCATTTGTGAAGTGGAGAAAGTCAGTATCTTGTTTCTTAGGCCAATCCATTCATTTGCTAGAAGGGAGAATCTATGTAATGGAGAACTGAAACATTAGCTGGCCCTCCTATCTGCTTCTCCTATTGTGTATTTCCCCTAAAAAACAAAATCTTCCCTAGTGACTCTGCCCTTTTGTTCAAGTTAGAGAATCCTTCATAAGGATGATATCATGTTTCCACAGATGCTGTCATCCTACCTCATGTGATTTCCAATATACGCACTAATGTGTTGATGGCTCAATGGGATCAACATTTCTATTGATCATCTGCAGAAATATAAAGAGGTTTGACCATTTATTCATTATTTTATTTGTTCAAAGAGGAAATGACTGCAGGCCCTGGGCTACCTTCTGGGATTAATACAAACATGTTTCCTACATCCTCAGATCCTCTATTCTAGGATTTCTTACACCCAGGCTGGTGATATCTATGACATCCAGGATCTTCTAACTTTCTATATGGAAAAAATTTAACAATTAAGCCAGCCCATCAACCAACCAACCCACCAACCAATCTATTATACTCTACGATGTGATTAATTGATGCTAAATAATGGAGATTTTATAAAAGAGGAAATGTTCTTTCTTCCATTTCCCTAGCATTTGAGCTCTTCCTCAGTTTTATTACATACGTTGTAGCATATAATTGCTTGGAATTGAATGTTTTAAATCTCCATTAGGTAATTTGGAACATAACATATGAAAAAGCTCTCTAACAGTGGAAATGCTTTGTTGTTTTGAGTTTCTAGCATTTTCTTCCTCTCAAACTGTCTTATAACCAGTTCTTAATAAGTAGTATAATGACTAAAAATTATAAAGAACATATTAAATATAAGATGGATATTGTTGTAATTTTACCAAGCATGCCAAAATGTCAATTTAACTTCATCAGGAAAACCATTTCAAGAATTGGCAGGTAATTTTAATCTGCATTATTACTTGCTCAAGTGAAAGGGAAAAGAAGGGAAGTGCATAAAACAGAAAAGGTAGTGCATTTTGATGTTGTCTTCAAATTTGCCCTTTATTTGAACAGGATGCCCAGAAAAATTGGAACTTTTAATCAGCTGAAAGCATTCTTACTACTAAATGGCTTTCTCCTTGATTGCATACAAATTAGAGATTATCAATGACATAACATAACAGAATTAAGCAAAAGCTAAAACATAACACTACCCATACTCAGATACAGGAATGTTTTAACTGCAGCATCTTCAGGAAGAATTTGAGAGTCAACATGGATTATGTATGTAGCCTTCTCTCCCTACACCTGATCCCTTGATATCATCATCCTATTCCAAAGCTTCAATTACCACCTCTACGAAGAAGATACTCAAGACTAGAATGCCAATTTCCCTAATTTCTCTTTTACAAGCAGAGTTTTGATTTCACACTACCTTAAGGACGTTAGCTGTTTGCTATCAAAGCTATGCTGTTAATGAGGACAGTTATGTTTTCTTTCAAAATATTCCTTGCAGATAAATCTCTAAATCTCCATGAGATTTATTTCCTACCTCTTCTCCAAGAAGTATTGTGTGTAGTCTTGGCCTACATTGCGATTATTCCTAAAGGGTAATTACTTATTTGTATAGTATCCAATAGTGATAATCAGTCATTCATTTATTGAACACATGCCATTTACCAGGCTAATTAGAGACATGGGAGATAAAAAGGTCAGTGAGATCCAGCCTTTACCCTTGGTAATTTTGTTGCCAATTGAAAGAGCTCTGACGTACAAACAGATAAAGTTACAATAAAATGGGAGTAAATGCAAAAATAAAGGTAGAAACAATGTGCTCTATGGATATAGGGAGAAAGTAATTTTGTCAGGTCCAGTTAGGGAGAGAAAAAGTGATTTTTTCATATGTGTCTTGAAGGATGAAAAGATGTCCAGTCTAAGAAGAGGAAAGAGGGCATGTGAGACATAGTGAATAGCATATGCAATGGTCAGGGAAGGATACTTTTCTACAGTGACAAACCATAGCAGTGATAAAGTCAATGCGACTGAAGATGGGGAAATGTGGAATTGCTGCTGGAAAGGTGTACTGTGGGCACATTTAAAATGCCCTTTCATGCTCTACCCAGGAGTTTGAGTTTTGTTTTCCAGGTAAGATGTAGATATCTAAAATTTTAAGCAGATAAATGGTGGAAATAGCTTTTTTTAAAGGAAGTTAATTTGGGAGCTGTGTAGAGGATGGCCTCGAGGAGACAAATACAATAAGATTAGATAGAAAACAAATGTAATAATCCAGGTGAGAATTGATGGAAATCTGAAATAAGAAAAGACAGTGACTTGGGAAGGAGAGGAGGCGACAATTCCAAGAGAAGTTTCTGAGCAAGAATGGGCAGGACTTGCTAATGGTTTGGCTAGACAGTTCCAGGATGAAAAAGAAATAGAAGGTGTCTTTGGAATTTCTGGCTTGGGAGACTGAATGAATCTTGAAAGACAGTAAGGGAATAGGTTAGCAGAGAGGGGAAGATGTGCTTGATCTTGGATGTGTTCATTTAACAAGTTTGTGGGACATCCATGTGGGCATGCCCATTAGGCGGTACAAAATATGAATCTCTGCTGGGCAGAAAGACAAGGGATGGAGTTTTGGTAAACATTAACAAATAGATCATTATAGAAGCTATGGCCTTCAGTTAAAAAAATCAACCCAACCCATATCCTAGTTTATCTTCTATCTGCCTTCAATATGCTTTAAAGAAAATTGTGAATTTTTTTCTCATACACTCTTTCCATAGTGTATCAAAATGAGTCTGCACATACTTTTGCAATTAAGCCAGAAGATTGCTCTATGATAATTATTAACGCTATGTTTCTCCAGCTAAACTGGGAAAGGTACCCTAACTTTCATTCCTCAACATTCTGCCCTGATACCATACGTTACATATAGCAGACTCCCTCTCCTTCTAGACTAGTAGGGATTGAGAAACCATAGTAGTCATTTGTTTGTTTCCCAGTGTACCCACAGTCCCAGTGAAAGAGTCTCCTAACAGATTTCTTTGCCTCCAGTCTTCCCCACTCCAAGGTTTTCTGCATACTGCTCAGACTCTTTGTCTTAATTAAGCACTGGTTTCGTCATGTTTCTTCACTGTTTTGTTAACAAATCCTTTAAGCCACTTCCCATTAATATTATTTTTCTTTGACTCTTTTATTTCCAATACACCCTACATGGGTAGCATCACTTGCCTTTCCTCAAACATGGCTCTCTTCATCGCCTGTGACAGTGCTTTTGTTCCTTCTACCCAGAATATTCTTCCTATCTGTCTATTCTTGTCACAATCCTCTTAATCTCAAGGATGGCTCAAATATCAGCAATCTGGACTCCTGCAGAGTGTTGTACCCCTGTCACAGGATTAAACCACATTTTGCCTTCAATGAGTGTGTTTGTGGTTAATATCACATAAACTCTTGGAGAAAAGGCCTGTCTTGTTCATTTTTGTATCACCCCAAATTGAATCATGCAGCCTCTTACAGAGTGGTTGTGCAATAATAGTAGATAAATTTTCTACGTCTCTTCATATTTTTTTCCTCTTTAATATTGTAAAGTCACATATAATAACTTATTTTCAGTGGTGTATTCATTTTGATTCCTTGGCCAAAGTTTTTTCTATTTTTAGTCAAAATGGCTCCTTGCTTAAAGGTTTAACTCTTTTACCTCCATACATAGGCTTAGCAAACAATACATAAGAATCCCCGTGGTTATAGAATCAGCTCTGCACAAACCTAGGCTTCTCATTCTAAAGTGGAAAATATTAGGAGAAAGTGGGCAATTCATGGAAACATAGAGTTTATTGTGATAACAAAAACCTAGTTTTATATTTAAGAAAATAATTCCTTTAGAAGTTCCCGATTTCTCTGGCAAAAAGAACAAATAAAAACATAGTCCAACCAAATGAGGTTTTGGGTTGATATATCAGGATAACAGATAATATAATTTTTTAAGAAATGTTTTCAATTTTCTAGTTTTTCTCTTTGGTAGAAGAATGTTTAGTCAACTTTCGTGGACCTTAGACGAGCCAAAGATCAGTATGTTTAAGTTAATCAGTAACTTGAAATGCCTTTTTCTTGTGTTTGGGAGAAAGAAAAGGAGACAGATTGCTGTGGAAATATAAGATGTTATTTCTGCGAAAATACTTGTATCTTTACCAATTTTAAATGTCGGTTTTCTTCTCCCAAAGTTTATTTTACCTGTCTACTTGGATGAGCTTCAGAACTATCTATGTCTGAGGAATATTATCTTCCTCTTCTACATTTTGCTGTAGAGCAAACTTTCTGCACCGTATGTTAAAAAATCTGAAACTATATTATATAGTAGAAACAATTCAAGACTTAACTTGTAAAAAAGTCATGAATTAAAGTGGAATGAAAATAATATATTTTGAAAAAGCAAACCAATGAGAGCTGGACATGTTAGGTTTTAAAATAATAGGTTCTATATCTTTAATCATTGAAATAATATTTATACACTATTTTCCTATAAAATATTACATATTCATAAGATTTTAGAATAGAATGGAATTTTGAGGTCGCCTAGACCAGTTGCATCACTTTGTGAGTAAGGAAATATTAAGCTTAGAAATGTTAAGTCCCCTTTTCAAGGTCCCACAGAAATCAGTAGCAGAGCTTAAATGAGAATTTAACTTGTCTGATTCCAAATCAGTGGCTCTTTTTACCCATACTGTGATATCTATATTGTCTGAATTCAAAACTTGGATGTATATTATGACAATCTGATGTGACTTAAATGGAAACGATGGGACAGAATACTTGAAATTGAAACTGGACCCCCAAGTCAGGACACTGGATAAAAAGAAGTTTATTTGTGTCACAGTTTATTTATGTCCCCTAATGTATTTTTCTTTAAAAAAAAAGTAAAGATTAAATGCTAGTGTTTTATCAATTTGCATGGTCTTCATTAAATTGAAAAAAAAAACACACCAGAAAAATGAAGGAAATCAAACACTGCTGCTCCAAGCTTAGGGAATAATGTTAATACCATTGGAATCTACATCACCAAATACTAAGAACCCTCAGTACATGAAGCCAATCAAAGTTAAATACAGTGGATCTTTGTGTTCTATTAATTTATATGCTGAAACTTGTAATGGTGCTGACTACCTTAAACAGTAAGACAAACAAGGAAACATGCCCTTTTAGAGTTGTGAGTTGGGATAGTACTGGATATTGAGCAAATATAATTATGTTGCCATTTCTCTGGCTTTTTGATTCTTGGAGCAAATCATCAAAGTTATGTATATGTCACTTTTGTGTGAAATTATAAGGGGGATAGTCGTTAGGAATGAAAGCTTTGAACCAAGATAAAAATACATAATAAGCAATGTGTCCCTAAATATTTTGAAGAATACATTCCTAAAGAGTTAAATCCTGGCCAAAAACAAGTCCTTTGACTCCTGTATTTATTATTCGTGGTTTTGAACATGCCAGGTTCACGAGTTCTACCTGCACTTGGCAACAATTCTGTACTTTCCTCAGCCCCATGGTGTGCTCAGCTGCTTGTAAAAAGTAAGGAAGCTCTGGTGACGGTGATGCATGGTAACAACAGTTTTTATTCCTGTCAGACTTGAAAGGGTGAGAATTTGGAAAAGGTAAGAGTTTATGAGATAGTCTTAATTAAAGAAAACTATTCACTTATACCAACACTTGGAAAGTTATCTAAAATACTAACTACTTCTTTTAGGTTGGAAAAATTAGAAGGTAACTGTTCCTTTCCATTTTTTCATAGGTACTGTGGGGCAGCCCAGGAGCCACTAACAACCAAGGCCTGCACCGGAATAAGCTACAAGGATTGGTTTGGAAGGCCAAAAACCTCAGCTGACCCTAAGTCAGTTCTGCTTCTTATACAGACTATTTCAGTCCCGTCTCCCCAGTGTTACCAATGTTGTGTTTCCACCTAATCCTAACTCCTTATCTTCTAAAATGTGACATGTTTCCTTGGCTCTTCAAAGCAAAATGGAAAGAGGGAGAGATTCAAATCCTAATGCTGTCACTTAACTGTGTGAAGATGGGTAGATGAGGTACATTACTTAGTTTCTCTGAGCTGTACTTTTCTCATTTTTAGAATGAGATGATAACACATGATATGATTTGGCTGTGTCCCCACCCAAATCTCATCTTAAATTGTAGTTCCCATAATCCCCATGTGTGTTGGGAGGGACCTGGTCGGAGGTAATTGAATCATGGGGGCAGTTCCCCTGATGCTATTCTTGTGATAGTAAGTTCTCACGAGATCATATGGTTTTATAAGGAGCTTCCCCCTTCACTTGACTTTCATTCTTCTCCTTCCTGCTGCCACGTGAAGAAGGACATGATTGTAAGTTTCCTGAGGCCTCCCCAGCCCTGCAGAACTGTGAGTCAGTTAAACCTCTTTCCTTTACAAACTACCCAGTCTTGGGCAGTTCTTTATAGCAGCGTGAGAATGGACTAATACACGTATCTTTAAGTTTTCTGTGGTGAAGATTAAGCATGGCAGACACAGAGTATGTACCCAATAAATAATAGGTATAATTGTGCTCATCCACACTCTCATCAATTACCTGGCAAAAATTCTATTCAAGGGCTAGGACTCTGCTACTCCACTCCAATCCTCTTCAGTTCCACTATGTTTACCTCAGTTCCCCAACCAAATGGGTAACAGCTGGTTTTGCATGAAAGTGAGCAACTATGGAGGCAGAGGATTGTCTCCTCACGTACTCGGGATGAATTCTACCCCGAGGCACCACACCCTTGTTGGGCCAACTGCACAGAATTCTGTGCATGCACGACTATCAAGTGTTTATCTATTGCCCCAGAAGCAAGCTTCTCTAAACCTGGTGCTTGTTTCTCTCCTATGCTTCCATCTCCTGTTGACCTCCCTTCCAATTCTTTCCAATGTGCCTCATGGAATTTTCATTCTGTTATGAGTAACCCTCTGTTGATCTCCTAGTTTTCATTAAACGTTGTCTGTGCTTCAAGAACACTGAATATCTTTTTGCTGTGTTAAATCCAAAGCTTAGTCATTGGTCCTCATCTTAGTTGAATCCTCAGTACTTTCGCTACTACCACCCTTGTACAAGCTGCTACCTTTTTTTTTTTTTTGCCTGAAATGATACAGTAGTGTATAAACCAAGTATCTCTGCTTGCATCGTCATCTGCCTGTCATGTATGCTCAATGTAGTAACCACAGTGATCCTTATAAAAGTAAAGTCAGGTAAATGTCACTCCTTGGCTACTTCAGGTCAGGGACCATGTCATTTTTTTTTTTCCCTCTGTATCTCCAGGGCTTATCGCTGAAACTTAGCAGGCACTCAGTAAATATTTTGCTAAGCAGTTAAAACTAAGAGAAGAAAGAGGAGGGAGAAATATGGTAATCACTTACCACATCCTCTTTTAACCTCTTGAATATCTTACCAATGTCTTCTTTTGTTCTTACTTTCACATCATTTGATTTGATAAAACAAAACTATTATCTAGAGAGGTAAGGCAGACTTGTGAACTGGACCCGTAGAAGTTAAGTGATGTCCCTGTTTGCAGTGTCAATGAGATTGAGGGCTTGGGCTTGAACCCAACCTTCTCCCTCCAAATAGCCTGCTCTTTCTGTTATGTCATGTTTCATATACAAGTTTGGGAGCCTCCAGCCCTGACTATCCCAACATATACAACATAATGTATATGTTGTCTTTGGAAATATCTTCTGTGAAGGCCAAGCATTTAATATTACAGGAAACCTTGAAGTGGATATGGAAGCTTGGCAGCCAGCTTGGATCTTCCTAAGAGCCTCTTTCCTTCATACCATCTTCAGAGTACGTATCATTCAATAGAGACTCTCTTGCACAGGAATTATTATTATATGCTTGCAAATAGTCTCAACCAAAATCTTTAACCTGGAAATGAAGATGGGCTACTGTCTAGGAAGCCTCTGATTTTGTTATTGGTTTTTATTATCATGTTAGGTTTGTATATTAAGGAGAAAAATTGGCAGAGAGCATCTAACCTATTAAAATTAGATATTCAAAGAAATTTAGTTTTGGGGGGTCTGAATTGATAATATAACATATGGAAGTTAAAATTCTAGAAGCTATGTTTACTATATGATTTCATGGTGTAACAAGATCTGGGAGTAACATAAACTAATCTACCTTCCCTTGTAAACAATCATCTTCCTTCCAAGTCTTGCTGGCAGAGGAAGAGGTTGTGGGACAGTGTGGGAAGAAGGAGGGAGTCAGAGTTAATTTCATTATGTGCTTCCTAAAGAATGGGTTATTCAACAAAAACACTAGTAACAACAGCAACAATGAAACTCCACCTCTCTGAAGTGTATAGAAGATTAATATGATATTTAAGTACATTTTAAATAGATTTTCTATTTCCAAATTGATAACTGTGGTCATGTAAACTTTCATGATCCTTTGCGGCTGACTCTCTTGTATGTCCATTTGGCAGTCTCAGTTTCTGCTACATTAATTTGACCTTGATAATTTATTCATTCATATATGTTTGTATTATTTCTTGAACCAGATTACTATAAGAAACTGTCTTGTTCTTGTCATATCTTTTTCCATGCTCTCACACCTCTAAATAATTATCTAAACCTAAAAAAGGATAAGTACTTTTTAGAAATTTACTTTACATTCAAAGTAGAGTGTCTTATCTAGGTTTGACAGTTTTTACACTCTGAAAATTGAAACTATATCAACAAAAGTAATTTTATACACTGTCCCAAGCTTTTAAGAAAGTGATAAATATACACTGTATATGACATTGAAGTACATTTTGAATAGCTTTTCTATTTCTATCTTGATAATTATGTGGTCCCACGTAGGTCAACAACAACAAAAAAGTGTTGGGCCATCCCATGTAGGTTGACAACAACAAAAAAGTGATAGGTATACAGTGATCTTTATACCTATCAAATTTTGTTGATCTTATTTATTTATTATTATTATTATTTTCTGAGACAGAGTCTTGCTCTGTCGCCCAGGCTGGAGTGCAGTGGCGTGATCTCAGCTCACTGCAACCTCCGCCTCCTGGGTTCAAGTGATTCTCTTGCCTCAGCCTCCCGAGTAGCTGGGACTACAGGCGCGTTCCACCATGCCTGGCTAATTTTTTGTATTTTGTAGAGACAGGATTTCACCATGTTAGCCAGGATGGTCTTGATCTCCTGAACTTGTGATCTGCCTACCTTGGCCTCCCAAAGTGTTGGGATTACAAGCGTGAGCCACCGCGCCTGGCCTGATCTTATTTTATAAAGATACACTGTATACCTATAACTTTTTTGTTGTTGTCGGCCTACATGGGATGACACCAGAACTTTTTACTTTTTTGCGACTTCTTCAGGGCCCTTCTGATCATACTGATTCCATGGTCCAGCAGCCCTGACCTGCTCCATCCACTATGTGCCCTGAAATGCATACCTGTGGTGGGAAACTCCCAACAGGAGCTTATGTCACATATACGTGGCCAGAAAAACACGAGAGTGCCTCGGGACAAGTATTTCACGAGCAATGGAAAAAAGTCATTTTGTTACCAGTTCTTCCAGAAGCATATTCACCCATGCAGATTCATAATCTGTAACACTTAAATACAATTTCTTTGTTTCTAATTACACATTGTAGTTTGGAGAAGCATGATAATATTCAATTAAAAGTAACTCATGAATTGTTTGTAGAAATCCCCGAGATGACTAAATATTCTATATGAAGACAGATGAATGAAATAATTTTAATCTCAAATCTAGAATATACTTTTTAGAATTAAAGAGCAGAGGGTCTTTTATAATAAGGCAACTTGTCACCTTATGGACATCTTCAGATCATCATATGATAAGAATGTTTAATAATATTAAAAAGTGGCATTCCAATAAATAACATGGTAATATTGCGGGATACAAGCTTAATATACAAAAATCATTTGCTTTCTATATACCAGAAATGAACAATTGGAATTTGAAATAAAAAACACAATGCCATTTACATTAGCAACAACAACAAAATGACATACTTTGATATAAATCTACCAAAATATCTACAAGTTCTATATGAAGAAAACCACAACACTGATGAAAGTATCAGTATTGGCTCATTAATTGTAACCAATATACCACAGTATTGCAAGATGTTGATAATAGGAGGATAACAGGTAGGGAGGGGATAGATGGGAACTCTCAGTACTTCCTGTTCAATTTTTTGGTAAACATAAAACAGCTTAAAAAATAAAGTCTATTAAAAATAAGTGCCATCCATGGAATACATATAGAAAAATGCTGCTACATTAAATATTACCTATAGATAAAAATGCATCCCAAGACACAGTACAGCATGTTCAGATGATTCTCTGTGAAGCAGCATAACACAGTGGGTAGAATTCAAATTTTAGAATCAGAAAGACCTGGATTCAAATCTGAACTCTAACTTGCAAAAACTGTGTGAATCTAAGCAAGTGGCTTAATTTTTTTCTGAACCATATTTTCATCATCTGTAAAGCTTGGATAAGAAGGACTACCTTACTTACATGAGATTATGTTTGCAAATCACATGAAACACTGTATGACACACTGTACCTGTCCAATAACTGATAATATCCAATCTTTAATGTATAAAGCTACACTTAAAAGCTGTCCATATTTTTAAAACCAACAGAATGAAGTCAGAAATAAGAAAGGTATTGGAGCAAAGGAAAAGTCATTATGCAAGGAAGGACAAGTTATTCATTCGTTTGGCTATACATACATTTGGAGACCATTCAGTAGATTCACTTACCTACATTTTGTAGGTTTTGCCACTCTTACCTCTTATTCGGAAAAAAAAAAAGCTTCGGAGATCTCTTTCCAAATCTCTTTTGCCTGCTGAAGACCATTATATGTATCGATACCTCATATTTTGGAATTTATGGAAAGGTCTTTTTCTTTTATTTAAAATTTATAAAAAGGTATACATTTACTGTATGTAATGATAGAATCTTAGAGATAGTTCTGAAGTCCTCTTCTGAGTACTCACTCTCTATCTACCTATCTATCTATCTAACTATCTATCCTCTATGTGTATATATTTTTATCTTAAAATGTGACATAACACAGTCTGGATGCAAGAAACCAAAATGGACTCAGTGGTCACTTGCTTTCTGGTTTTTGATGAGACAGTTTCTGGGAGTGTTTGTCAACTCGTGAAGGCAGATGTATCCAGAGGTTTGAGGGTCATAGATGATGTTTGTAACCTCGTTGATGTAAGCAAAAATTGGGCTTTGACTGCCCTTGTTTGGATACTTGATATAAATTACCAAGGCATTAAATTCACGTTAACAAGTACATGCAGGTGCTATTTGTAGTAGGTGCCAGTAAGGAAACCAGAAAACATGGTTTATGTTAAATGAGATAACATGTGTCAAGAGTTTATCTAAGTTATTCTGTATAGCAAGTATTCAATCAGTGCTATAATTTATTTTCTGCACTTCCCTATGTTTATTTTAAAAGTTTACTTTTTATCACACAGCTTTATGCCATGAAGTGATTGAATATCTCAATTTCCTCATTATAATAGACAGGGGAGAAATCAAAGAAGAAGATAGTTACAAAATATCTTTGACTAAAATATGTACATCTGCTGTTGTGGATGGCCTCCCCCTCACTCTAACTATAAAAATAAAATACTACAGAAAAATGAGATAAGATCTTTATATGTTAATAGCAATTTATTTCTATTTACACTTGCTTTTTATAATTATCAAAAGCTATACTTTCATGAGGAGTATTTCTCTCCTTTGAAGTATGTAAGACATATCCAGAAAGTAGATTTAAAAAGCCATGCAAACTTATTTTCATTTCCTTAAATATTATTACCCTGGCATTTTGTTTTAAATTAAAATTCATAATAACATATATGACAGCATCTTAATGGAGGATCAGCAGTGGAATTTGGATATACACACATTTACTTTCATTCTCAGGTACCGAATTTTTATTTTTTAATTTTTTTATTTTTTTAGTTTATTTTTTTTATTTTTATTTTTTTTTATTATACTTTAAGTTTTAGGGTACATGTGCACAATGTGCAGGTTAGTTACATATGTATACATGTGCCATGCTGGTGCGCTGCACCCACTAACTCGTCATCTAGCATTAGGTATATCTCCCAATGCTGTCCCTCCCCGCTCCCCCAACCCACAACAGTCCCCAGAGTGTGACGTTCCCCTTCCTGTGTCCATGTGTTCTCATTGTTCAATTCCCACCTATGAGTGAGAATATGCGGTGTTTGGTTTTTTGTTCTTGCGATAGTTTACTGAGAATGATGATTTCCAATTTCATCCATGTCCCTACAAAGGACATGAACTCATCATTTTTTATGGCTGCATAGTATTCCATGGTGTATATGTGCCACATTTTCTTAATCCAGTCTATCATTGTTGGACATTTGGGTTGGTTCCAAGTCTTTGCTATTGTGAATAATGCCGCAATAAACATACGTGTGCATGTGTCTTTATAGCAGCATGATTTATAGTCGTTTGGGTATATACCCAGTAATGGGATGGCTGGGTCAAATGGTATTTCTAGTTCTAGATCCCTGAGGAATCGCCACACTGACTTCCACAATGGTTGAACTAGTTTACAGTCCCACCAACAGTGTAAAAGTGTTCCTATTTCTCCACATCCTCTCCAGCACCTGTTGTTTCCTGACTTTTTAATGATTGCCATTCTAACTGGTGTGAGATGGTATCTCATTGTGGTTTTGATTTGCATGTCTCTGATGGCCAGTGATGGTGAGCATTTTTTCATGTGTTTTTTGGCTGCATAAATGTCTTCTTTTGAGAAGTGTCTATTCATGTCCTTCGCCCACTTTTTGATGGGGTTGTTTTTTTCTTGTAAATTTGTTTGAGTTCATTGTAGATTCTGGATATTAGCCCTTTGTCAGATGAGTAGGTTGTGAAAATTTTCTCCCATTTTGTAGGTTGCCTGTTCACTCTGATGGTAGTTTCTTTTGCTGTGCAGAAGCTCTTTAGTTTAATTAGATCCCATTTGTCAATTTTGTCTTTTGTTGCCATTGCTTTTGGTGTTTTAGACATGAAGTCCTTGCCCATGCCTATGTCCTGAATGGTAATGCCTAGGTTTTCTTCTAGGATTTTTATGGTTTTAGGTCTAACGTTTAAGTCTTTAATCCATCTTGAATTGATTTTTGTATAAGGTGTAAGGAAGGGATCCAGTTTCAGCTTTCTACATATGGCTAGCCAGTTTTCCCA
This sequence comes from Homo sapiens, assembly GCF_000001405.40. NCBI lineage: Eukaryota > Metazoa > Chordata > Mammalia > Primates > Hominidae > Homo > Homo sapiens. The sequence continues at coordinate 74,237,178 of NC_000013.11, forward strand.
GCACCATTTATTAAATAGGGAATCCTTTCCCCATTGCTTGTTTTTCTGAGGTTTGTCAAAGATCAGATAGTTGTAGATATGCGGCGTTATTTCTGAGGGCTCTGTTCTGTTCCATTGATCTATATCTCTGTTTTGGTACAAGTACCATGCTGTTTTGGTTACCGTAGCCTTGTAGTATAGTTTGAAGTCAGGTAGTGTGATGCCTCCAGCTTTGTTCTTTTGGCTCAGGATTGATTTGGCGACGCGGGCTCTTTTTTGGTTCCATATGAACTTTAAAGTAGTTTTTGCCAATTCTGCGAAGAAAGTCATTGGTAGCTTGACGGGGATGGCATTGAATCTGTAAATTACCTTGGGCAGTATGGCCATTTTCATGATATTGATTCTTCCTACCCATGAGCATGGAATGTTCTTCCATTTGTTTGTATCCTCGTTTATTTCCTTGAGCAGTGGTTTGTAGTTCTCCTTGAAGAGGTACTTCACATCCCTTGTAAGTTGGATTCCTAGGTATTTTATTCTCTTTGAAGCAATTGTGAATGGGAGTTCACTCATGATTTGGCTCTCTGTTTGTCTGTTGGTGTATAAGAATGCTTGTGATTTTTGTACATTCATTTTGTATGCTGAGACTTTGCTGAAGTTGCTTATCAGCTTAAGGAGATTTTGGGCTGAGACAATGGGGTTTTCTAGATATACAATCATGTGGTCTGCAAAGAGGGACAATTTGACTTCCTCTTTTCCTAATTGAATACCCTTTATTTCCTTCTCCTGCCTGATTGCCCTGGCCAGAACTTCCAACACTATGTTGAATAGGAGTGGTGAGAGAGGGCATCCCTGCCTTGTGCCAGTTTTCAAAGGGAATGCTTCCAGTCTTTGCCCATTCAGTATGATATTGGCTGTGGGTTTGTCATAGATAGCTCTTATTATTTTGAAATATGTCCCATCAATACCTAATTTATTGAGAGTTTTTAGCATGAAGGGTTGTTGAATTTTGTCAAAAGCTTTTTCTGCATCTATTGAGATAATCATGTGGTTTTTGTCTTTGGCTCTGTTTATATGCTGGATTACATTTATTGATTTGTGTATATTGAACCAGCCTTGCATCCCAGGGATGAAGCCCACTTGATCATGGTGGATAAGCTTTTTGATGTGCTGCTGGATTCGTTTTGCCAGTATTTTATTGAGGATTTTTGCATCAATGTTCATCAAGGATATTGGTCTAAAATTCTCTTTTTTGGTTGTGTCTCTGCCTGGCTTTGGTATCAGCATGATGCTGGCCTCATCAAATGAGTTAGGGAGGATTCCCTCTTTTTCTATTGATTGGAATAGTTTCAGAAGGAATGGTACCAGTTCCTCCTTGTACCTCTGGTAGAATTCGGCTGTGAATCCATCTGGTCCTGGACTCTTTTTGGTTGGTAAGCTATCGATTATTGCCACAATTTCAGATCCTGTTATTGGTCTATTCAGAGATTCAACTTCTTCCTGGTTTAGTCTTGGGAGAGTGTATGTGTCCAGGAATTTATCCATTTCTTCTAGATTTTCTAGTTTATTTGCATAGAGGTGTTTGTAGTATTCTCTGATGGTAGTTTGTATTTCTGTGGGATCAGTGGTGATATCCCCTTTATCATTTTTTATTGCGTCTACTTGATTCTTCTCTCTTTTTTTCTTTATTAGTCTTGCTAGCGGTCTGTCAATTTTGTTGATCCTTTCAAAAAACCAGCTCCTGGATTCATTAATTTTTTGAAGGGTTTTTTGTGTCTCTATTTCCTTCAGTTCTGCTCTGATTTTAGTTATTTCTTGCCTTCTGCTAGCTTTTGAATGTGTTTGCTCTTGCTTTTCTAGTTCTTTTACTTGTGATGTTAGGGTGTCAATTTTGGATCTTTCCTGCTTTCTCTTGTGGGCATTTAGTGCTATAAATTTCCCTCTACACACTGCTTTGAATGCGTCCCAGAGATTCTGGTATGTTGTGTCTTTGTTCTCGTTGGTTTCAAAGAACATCTTTATTTCTGCCTTCATTTCGTTATGTACCCAGTAGTCATTCAGGAGCAGGTTGTTCATTTTCCATGTAGTTGAGCCGTTTTGAGTGAGATTCTTAATCCTGAGTCCTAGTTTGATTGCACTGTGGTCTGAGAGATAGTTTGTTATAATTTCTGTTCTTTTACATTTGCTGAGGAGAGCTTTACTTCCCAGTATGTGGTCAATTTTGGAATAGGTGTGGTGTGGTGCTGAAAAAAATGTATATTCTGTTGATTTGGGGTGGAGAGTTCTGTAGATGTCTATTAGGTCTGCTTGGTGCAGAGCTGAGTTCAATTCCTGGGTATCCTTGTTGACTTTCTGTCTCGTTGATCTGTCTAATGTTGACAGTGGGGTGTTAAAGTCTCCCATTATTAATGTGTGGGAGTCTAAGTCTCTTTGTAGGTCACTCAGGACTTGCTTTATGAATCTTGGTGCTCCTGTATTGGGTGCATATATATTTAGGATAGTTAGCTCTTCTTGTTGAATTGATCCCTTTACCATTATGTAATGGCCTTCTTTGTCTCTTTTGATCTTTGTTGGTTTAAAGTCTGTTTTATCAGAGACTAGGATTGCAACCCCTGCCTTTTTTTTTGCTTTCCATTTGCTTGGTAGATCTTCCTCCATCCTTTTATTTTGAGCCTATGTGTGTCTCTGCACGTGAGATGGGTCTCCTGAATACAGCACACTGATGGGTCTTGACTCTTTATCCAATTTGCCAGTCTGTGTCTTTTAATTGGAGCATTTAGTCCATTTACATTTAAAGTTAATAGTGTTATGTGTGAATTTGATCCTGTCATTATGATGTTAGCTGGTTATTTTGCTCGTTAGTTGATGCAGTTTCTTCCTAGTCTCGATGGTCTTTACATTTTGGCACGATTTTGCAGCGGCTGGTACCGGTTGTTCTTTTCCATGTTTAGTGCTTCCTTCAGGAGCTCTTGTAAGGCAGGCCTGGTGGTGACAAAGTCTCTCAGCATTTGCTTGTCTGTAAATTATTTTATTTTTCCTTCACTTATGAAGCTTAGTTTGGCTGGATATGAAGTTCTGGGTTGAAAATTCTTTTCTTTAAGAATGTTGAATATTGGCCCCCACTCTCTTCTGGCTTGTAGGGTTTCTGCCGAGAGATCCGCTGTTAGTCTGATGGGCTTCCCTTTGAGGGTAACCCGACCTTTCTCTCTGGCTGCCCTTAACATTTTTTCCTTCATTTCAACTTTGGTGAATCTGACAATTATGTGTCTTGGAGTTGCTCTTCTCGAGGAGTATCTTTGTGGCGTTCTCTGTATTTCCTGAATCTGAACGTTGGCCTGCCTTGCTAGATTGGGGAAGTTCTCCTGGATAATATCCTGCAGAGTGTTTTCCAACTTGGTTCCATTCTCCCCATCACTTTCAGGTACACCAATCAGACGTAGATTTGGTCTTTTCACATAGTCCCATATTTCTTGGAGGCTTTGCTCGTTTCTTTTTATTCTTTTTTCTCTAAACTTCCCTTCTCGCTTCATTTCATTCATTTCATCTTCCATTGCTGATACCCTTTCTTCCAGTTGATCGCATCGGCTCCTGAGGCTTCTGCATTCTTCACGTAGTTCTCGAGCCTTGGTTTTCAGCTCCATCAGCTTCTTTAAGCACTTCTCTGTATTGGTTATTCTAGTTATACATTCTTCTAAATTTTTTTCAAAGTTTTCAACTTCTTTGCCTTTGGTTTGAATGTCCTCCCATAGCTCAGAGTAATTTGATCGTCTGAAGCCTTCTTCTCTCAGCTCGTCAAAGTCATTCTCCATCCAGCTTTGTTCCGTTGCTGGTGAGGAACTGCGTTCCTTTGGAGGAGGAGAGGCGCTCTGCTTTTTAGAGTTTCCAGTGTTTCTGCTCTGTTTTTTCCCCATCTTTGTGGTTTTATCTACTTTTGGTCTTTGATGATGGTGATGTACAGATGGGTTTTTGGTGTGGATGTCCTTTCTGTTTGTTAGTTTTCCTTCTAACAGACAGGACCCTCAGCTGCAGGTCTGTTGGAGTACCCAGCCATGTGAGGTGTCAGTGTGCCCCTGCTGGGGGGTGCCTCCCAGTTAGGCTGCCCGGGGGTCAGGGGTCAGGGACCCACTTGAGGAGGCAGTCTGCCCATTCTCAGATCTCCAGCTGCGTACTGGGAGAACCACTGCTCTCTTCAAAGCTGTCAGACAGGGACATTTAAGTCTGCAGAGGTTACTGCTGTCTTTTTGTTTGTCTGTGCCCTGCCCCCAGAGGTGGAGCCTACAGAGGCAGGCAGGCCTCCTTGAGCTGTGGTGGGCTCCACCCAGTTCGAGCTTCTGGGCTGCTTTGTTTACCTAATCAAACCTGGGCAATGGCGGGCGCCCCTCCCCCAGCCTCGCTGCCGCTGCTGCCTTGCAGTTTGATCTCAGACTGCTGTGCTAGCAATCAGCGAGACTCCGTGGGCGTAGGACCCTCCAAGCCAGGTGCCGGATATAATCTCGTGGTGCGCCGTTTTTTAAGCCCGTCGGAAAAGCGCAGTATTCGGGTGGGAGTGACCCGATTTTCCAGGTGCCGTCCGTCACCCCTTTCTTTGACTCAGAAAGGGAACTCCCTGACCCCTTCCCAAGTGAGGCAATGCCTCGCCCTGCTTCGGCTCGCGCACGGTGCATGCACCCACTGACCTGCGCCCACTGTCTGGCACTCCGTAGTGAGATGAACCCGGTACCTCAGATGGAAATGCAGAAATCACCGTCTTCTGCGTCGCTCACGCTTGGAGCTGTAGACCGGAGCTGTTCCTATTTGGCCATCTTGGCTCCTCCCCCCAGGTACCGAATTTTTAAAGTAGGAATATTAAAAGCTCTTCTGCCCACTCTGTGGAGTGTTATTGGAGAGTTAAATTTTAAAAGTTCTGTATTTGCATGATCATTACTTAATTCCCCCTCAAACATAAAATGTTTGTTAATGATGTTACTACTTACAGGAAGTATAGATCAGTTGAATAGTCAAATTTTATAGAAGGTAGATTTAATCTTGTAAGATGGACTTTTATTTCTGAAATGAGTTTACATGTCCCTGAATTTTCTTTGACATGTGTATTAGTCTGTCTTCATGCTGCTGATAAAGACATATCTGTGACCTATTAATTCATAAAGAAAAAGAGGTTTAATGGACTCACAGTTCCATGGGCTGGGGAGGCCTCACAATCGTGGTGGAAGGCAAAAGCCATGTCTTACATGGTGGCAGGAGAGAGAGAATGAGAACCAAGTGAAAGAGGAAACCCCTTATAAAACCATCAGATCTCATTAGACTTATTCACTACCACAAGAATAGTATGTGGGAAACTATTCCCATGATTCAATTATCTCCCACTGGGTCCCTCCCACAATACATGGGAATTACGGGAGCTACAATTCAAGATGAGATTTGGGTGAGGACATAGCCAAATGATATCAACACACACGTGTTTATATGAGACGTAACAAAGTCATGAGGCTAGTTTCTTTGTGAGTTTTAATTCTTTAATATGCTCATCCAATAAACTCTCAATTGTTTAGTAGGTGTAGGGCTTGAGCATCCTGCCCAAGGATACTGGGGATACAAGGGGAAAGAAGGCGTGGCCCTATTTTTAAGAAGCTCACAGTCTAAAGTGAGCTGAACATGCAGAGACATATTACAGCAAGGTGAGGCTATCAGAGCCACGTGTACATAGAATTTCTGGGCACTCGGGGAAGTTGCCTCTCACTGCCACCCACTGCAGAGCCCTGATGAATCTTCATTTGGTGGCAGTGAGAGCACTTTTCTTTTCTTTTACTTTAAGTTCTAGGATACATATGCAGAACGTGCAGGATTGTTACATAGGTATACATGTGCCATGGTGGGTTGCTGCACTATCAACCTATCATCTAGGTTTTAAGCCCTGTAGGCATTAGATATTTGTCCTAATGCTCTCCCTCCCCTTGTCCCCCACCCCTGACAGGCCCCGGTGTGTGATATTCCCCTCCCTGTGTCCATGTGTTCTCATTGTTCAACTCCCACTTATGAGTGAGAACATGCGGTGTTTGGTTTTCTGTTCCTGTGTTAGTTTGCTGAGAGTGATGGTTTCCAGCTTTATCCATGTCCCTGCAAAGGACATGAATTCATTTTTTTTATGGCTGCATAGTATTCCATGGTGTATATGTGCCACATTTTCTTTATTCAGTCTATCATTGATGGGCATTTGGGTTGGTTCTAAGTCTTTGCTATTGTGAATAGTGCTACAATAAACATATGTGTGCATGTGTCTTTATAGTAGGATGATTTATAATCCTTTGGGTATATGCCCAGTAGTGGAATTGCTGGTTCAAATGGTATTCCTGGTTCTAGATCCTTGAGGAATTGTCACACTGTTTTCCACAATGGTTGAGCTAATTTACACTCTCCCCAACAGTGTAAAAGCATTGCTACTTCTCCACATCCTCTCCAGCATCTGTTGTTTCCTGACTTTTTAATGGTCGCCATTCTAACTGGCATGAGATGGTATCTCATTGTGGTTTTGATTTGCGTTTCTCTAATGACTAATGATGATGAACATTTTATTCATATGTTTGTTGGCCATGAGAGGACATTCTTTAAGGAGGTATCATTTGTCCTGGGTTTTGAAATGCAGTTAAGGGTTCCACAATTGGAATAGGGTCCATACTAAGAAGGGCATTCTAAGCAATGGGAACAGAGTGTATAGGCAATGTGGAGGAGGCCCGACACTAGCACACAATTTTGAAATTGTGGACTCAATATGTGCAAAAGACAATTGTGATCTGTCTCACTTGTTTTAATGAACATATGTTGGGGTTAGAAAAACTGAATTTGCTTGCTTTTACTAATATGAGTATCGGAAACATCTACTACAGGATGTTTACCAAATGAATCATTATCACAGTTCCTGCTGTGGTTGAATTTTTTGTTTTTAACCTCAAACCTTTAGAGTGAAAAGTGTCACTTATATTCCCACAGTTGACTCTTCAGTAATTGTTAAGAATATCATCTTTGGTAATTGTTAAGAATTTCATCTTTCACCTGGACTTCCCTCCAGTCTTTGATCCATATGTCACTTTGTTACTAGAGGTATCATGATGTAGCTTAGTCTTTTATTTATAAACTACAGATGATCCTGATGTTCCACTACCTAAAACATTCAGGGGCTCCCCATAGTCTACTGAAGTAAGTCTTATTGTGGCATGAAGAACATGAGCTGGCTCCAATAATTCTTTTGAACTTCCCTCCAAACTTATCACTTTCTACTTTCAAGCAGGTCCACCAAGCTTACACCATCACAAGTTGCAGACAGGGACAGAGGGAAGAGGATGAGACCGTTGAGGTAATTAGGTAGGAATCAGATGATGGAGAATTGCAAGTGTTGTACTAAGAAGTCTTGGTTTTATTCTGCATTCATGATACTTCTCAAACATTTCATCTAAAGTGTTCCAAAGGGGTAAGAAGAATATCTGCCCTCCACTGTGGGTTTTGGGGGCATAGCCTGAAGTGGGCCATCACAAATGAAAAATGTATTTATAGTATCCCTTCATATTTTTTGGATTCTAATGTGTATTGTCCTACTCCTTTTAATGCTAGGACAATTTTTCAACTTATTGCTACCAAGTAAAATTGAATTTCAAAAACAAGATGTTATCCTGAGTTTTGAATTCCCCCAGCACATTACCAGGCCTCCTGAGCAATGTGTATTCCAAATTGAGAAGCACTTTTTGGTAATAGGGAACCACTGGTGGATTTTAAGATGGTGACAGCAGCAACAAACATATGACTAAATGATTCAAACTTACAAAAAGATAGATTAACATATTTAGGATTTGGAAAAGTCACTCTGATGACTCTGATGGTAGCCCTGGAAGAGGGATTAGAGGCATGAGAATAGAAGAGGAAGAATCAGCAGGTCAGAGTACCAGTTGGATGGCTAGAGAAGCTATCAAGGAAAATTTCCAGTTCTTTGTTTTGGTATTTGGGTAGCCAGTATTATTATTTATTGAGACAGATACAAGAAAAGAAGAAGGTTTTCAATTTTGAACATGAACGTTTGTGATGAATTTGGGACATACAGGTGAGACATTTGGTAGGAAGCTGTATATCAGGTTTGAAGAATGGGAGATAAGTTTATCTATCTATCTATCTATCTATCTATCTATCTATCTATCTATCTATCATCTACAACATTTTGGTATTAAAAGTCTGAAAGTGGAAATTAAAGCTATGGGAGTAGATGAAATTGCTAGGAAAGTAATATAGGATCAGAGAGAGAAATTGTTGCATGGAAAAATGAGACAGGTTTTAAAACAAAGCAGATCTAGTAGGAGGAAAATAAAGACCTGTGAAGGAATGTTAACATTGTAAATGAATTTAGAAACCTCCTAACAGATTTTCTCATTTGATAGATTAAAAAGTTGAGGCTTAAAAACAGGAAATGATTGCTCTGAGAACCTTGTTTTATTTTCTCATTTCTGGCTGAGAGTTCTTACCATATTTTATTGACCTTATTTTATACATAAAATTTGTTGTTTTATGAACCTTGTATCCACTGTGGAACATAGCAAAGTGTTTCACTAAGGATAGTCACCTAATACAGTTTTTCAAAGAAAGACCTGAATTACTTAACCACTTACCTCTTGTAAATAAGAGGGGACAACAACTTAGTTTTGAACAGACAAAGTTAACGTGGAAGACTAATACTAGAATTTTAAAAAATCATAGTAACTGTATGTTAAAGTATCAATGAAAAACTAAATTGATCGCATGGCAAAGCTGAGTTTCAGTAACTTTTCCCCAGACACTAGTAGAAGGGTTATTGTTGGTAATCAAAACTTCTTTCCTTGCACCTAAAGGTCTTTTTCTCAAGCCCTCTTCAATGTCAGTGTGCCAATTCTCTGGCTTTGACACGACACCCAAGTGTGCCTTCCCCAAATGCCTATGCTTCAACATCATTCCTAGAACTCTAGTTATATATATCAGAATAGACAGTCAACAATTTCAGATCGGCTTCTGTTAAAAGTGGATACGTGCTGTTTTAAATGGATGACGCACTTATGACAGGGCTACCTGGTACTAGGGTTTGATCAAATTCTGTTTGGGAATTGCAGGATGAACTAGGAATAGCACATTCTTGTACTCAGAGTGTCAGAAGGTGGGTGGCTCCCATTGAAGACAGCCCATTTTCTACCCTACTTTTCTGTCTTTTAGGAAGGAGAAGCTAAAGTATTTAGAATGTTGCCTCGGCTTATTCCTCAGGCATAAAATGCAGTGGGCTCAGTTATTTGCTCTTGTTTTTTGAGGAATTATTAGGTTGAATAAGGCAGCATTTGCCTTTTTAAAATACAGGGGAACCACTCTGTGCTTCTGAGAAAATAGAAAGTGGCCCCCTGCCAGCTTACTGGCTTGGTGGGTGGAAAAAATAACACAGACCAATGTGAGGAACACATCAACTCTCTCTCCTCCGACATGAACCCGTGATGCCTCTCCAGAAACACCGGACAGATGGCAAAGATCACCTCAGTGGCGTTTCCATCAGAAATCCAAGTCTTTGTGCAGGAAGCCTCCAAGGAGAGAGGATCTCTGCACACTTATGCACGTGTGCATTTAGAAGTCAGAGGGCTGTGGCTGTGACTTGCCTCTGTGTGCGGCACGGATGAGAAAGCACATCTGACTCGATGCTAATGACAGTGGCTCATGGTGTTAAAAAAGATGAGGGAGGGTCAGAGGAGTTAATTACTTATGGTGAAAAATCTGAATGCTCAGAGGAATTAACTGGTATGCTGTAATTAATTTAAAAAGAGACTTTTAGTTGAAAAATATGATCATAATATAGACATCAGTAGTTTGAATTCCATCCATAGTTACTACATTCTGTGAAAACGATCTTATTGTACTAATAATGAATTTTGAAGCAGTAAGCTTCTTTTTTTTCGACCAGATTTCAAAGAAAATAAATTGAGGGTGCAGAAAAGACAAAGCAGAGAAAACAATATCTTTGATATCTTGTTTCTTACATTGCAGTCAAATGAATACCTGTATCACAAACGCTCTTGATGATGAAGATGGGTTCAGATTGTTTTGAACCAAAAAGACAATACAAGATGAAATAATTTCCTTGTTTTTACAGATCTGATGGTGTGCAGGGGTGACATGGACTAAATAGCAGCATTTTGCTGTAATAATAACTCTTTGAAAAAAATACCAGCCACACATGGGCAATTTGGGGGGATCTTTGCTACTGCTAATTGAATTTTCCTCTTGAATCAGTTTTTTGGCACATATCCAGATGTACCAGCCCTGTGCATAGGTGAAGAAGAAAGATGAAGGGCCCTAAGTATCCTACCTGATTTTCTTATCTCCGACAGGATACCTCATAGCACTTTCTCTTGTAATTCAACTCTGATAATTTACCTATGAAACCAAGGTGTAAGAAATTAGAGTTATGTCAAGTTATCTTTTTTTAGTTATTTATTATTATTATTTTTTTGTAGAGGCTGGGGTCTCACTATTTTGCGCGGACTGGTCTTGAACTCCTACCTTCAAGCAATCCTCCCACCTTGACCTCCCAAAGTGCTGGAATTACAGGCATGAGCCATTGCCTCCAGCCAGTCAAATTAGCATAAACAGATAGAATGGTTTTCATGTCCGTGAGATGTAACAGTGACCAAATTGAATGAATTAATGTTAAAGGAAGATATTTTGAATATTATGGTGGGAAGGGGAGAGGATCACAGAAGCTAATAAGTGATCTCCCAAGCACTGTGCAAAGGAATGGGGGCCAAGGGACTACCAGAATTCCAGTCCCATTGTGGCGCTGGATGCCTTAAGCTATCTTAGACTAATGCTATTATGAACTTAACTGAGGTAACTTCTTTTCCTCTCATGCCAAGCTCCTCAATCAACCTGCTTCTGATGTGGCTTTTTATATTGGGGAGGAGAGCTGGTTATGCTGCTTCAAATATTGGGGACTTTGCAACAGGCCTACATGTAGTTGTATTCTGGTTTTGTACATCCGTTTGTCAGTTTGATTCTTGTGAGTTTACACTGAGAGCTTGTGTTCACTCTCAGTACTCTGGAAGCATTCAGATTTTGAGCCTGAAATGGTGAGGGAGAAGATGCTATTGCTATGAGGAAACATGCAGGTGGCCAGCCAGTCTTTCTCTGCTGATGCTTGGATGCATTGCTGTTGGCCAAGATAAAGACTATTTGCACTTTTATTATAGCCACTTAGATTTCTCTGTTGTTTGGCAAAGGTGGAGACGTTGGTTCTAAAAGTAAGCTTCATATGTTTCCAGGAAGAATAAGGAGAGCTTAAAGAAACTAGGAGAAATAGCCTTCATCAACTAATATAATTTCAGCCAATGCTTAATCGTATGTGTATATACTAGATTTCACCTTGGGACATATTTGGGGAGTTATAGAACTTATCTCATCCAGTTTTCTTATAGTCAGCTGTTTAAACATGTGGTACAACAATCATAAAAGTGCCCATCATTAAGGGCTAACCTGATGTTTGTGGCTCACCCGAGACCAGTCCTATTGGCTGTGTGTTTCTCTCCAGCTCTGAGCCATGGGGAGGAAGCAGACACAAAGGAAGTGGAGCATTGGGTTTAACTGGGATTGGAGTTTTACCAAATGAGCATGCAAAGAGAGCAAACCACCGCAGAACCAAAGGTGTGAGCCAAGGAGCGCTTCTGATGATCAACCATGGATTTGAAGTGGGGAACAAGGGAAGGAGGGACGTGAGAAGGGTGGGGTACAGTGAAAATGTGTGGGAACAATGGACAGTCAGTCTTGGGAGGCTAAAGGATTGATAGAGGTGTGGTTCTAGAGGAGTGAATTGGAAAGATGGGAAGTAAGGGTGGTAAAGTAGGTTGGTTGAAATTGAGAAAATTTGTGGACCCTGGAGCCAGACAAACGTGAGTCCAAAACCAGTCTCTGACAATTGCTGTGTGATAATGCTAGTTGCTTCTTCTTTCTCTGCCTCAAGATTTTTTTTTTAATTTCTAAAATGGCAATAGTAATATCCACTTTATAAAAAAAAGCTACAAAGATCAAGTGTTGTAATGGATGTAAAGAACCTAGCACAGTGAATGGCAAATATTTGATACTTTTAGTAAATGTCAACTCTTGCATTTCTACTGCACAGTAAAGCCTTGAAAGCAGGAGCATCACACACACACACACACACACACACACACACACACACACACACGCACACCCTCACTCAATGCCATAAATGTCTGCTGAAAAAGAATTCAGAGCTGGGCCCCGGTGCCTTGGGGATATGCGAGTCCAGATCATGAGTTTGGATCACAAGCTTCTCAGGGATTCTCACAAACATCTTGGGTTCAGGATGGATTGAGATAGGGGTGGGTGGGTAGGAGGAGCATCAACACAGTATGTGAGAGTTGGGGAAAAATGACAAGGTTTCTTACTTTTAAAATTTGGTTTTCATTAATCATAATTCTGTTTGAGGGAAACCTATGGAACCTGAAAGTTCTGATAGTGGTGTTTTTTTAAAATATGTAAGAAATGCTTTTGAAACAATGTGTTCTCTGCTGTTGTTTTGAGGAGTCCTTAACTGAGAAATGCTCTGTGGGGTCCTTGGAGAATTTTTTAATATATGAATATCATGAGGAGGCGTTTCTTCAGTTAGTCCCTGATGAGGTAAACAGAGTCAGTGGACACTTTCTGGAAGTTCCTGAGGCTGGGGGACAGGGCAGCAGGTGGGAACTGTGCCCTTGTGCTTTGATTTCAAGTTCTCTCTTTAGTAATCAGGTCACTCAACAGTGTCCAAACTTTGTAACCAAAATAGTCTTGCTGGAGATGCTCAATTTTAGGCTCAGTAATGAGACACATTGAGACATAATTATGACATACATCTGAGGTCCTCATTTTGGGAAGAGGAGTGAGGAGTCATTATGTCAAGACACAACAAAAGGGCCAAATGAATAGAAAACCAATCAATAAATGGATGGATACGTGGAAGGAGTCATACTTTGAGAGGGAAGATTGAGGAATTCAGGGTGGGAGTAGTTGTCAGGTAATGAAGACCATGAGGACAAGAGTTCTACACACAGAGAGCTATGTGCTTGAAGAAAAGGAGTAGATCCATTTCCTTCATGCTTTAGTTGGTAAAAAATGTTGATGGCAGGACTGTGAAATTATTCCACAGATATCTTGAAATCATGCAAAAGGTCTTTGAGGTCATCAGCAGGTAGGATGAGGACAAGAATTAACACCAGGTGAAAGGAGAAATGTGTGGAGAAAGGAACCCTGGAGAACTTAGGAGGAAAGGATGCTGAAGAAGAAGGGTATCAAAAAGAAAAAGGTTAGAACCATGAGACTATTGGAGGGAATGCTGGAGGCAGCCTTAGGGAAGGGTAGGGGCAGAGAAGGCCAGAGCTAGGCTTCTTGGTGAGGAAGCTTAACCCCGTTCCTGGTAAGAGAGTCCAGCAATTCTGTGCTACATCTGTCAGGCACTCATTATATCGAACACGCCAATGACTGATGGTCTTATTAAATCAAACTTCAAAAAAAGATCAAGGCTGTTTAGGAAGATACCTAAGGAAAAAAAGGATCAAGGCTGCTATAAAAATGAACTCAGCATTGCATAGTTTTATATTTTTTTCTAACCATTACATGCATTAGTCATCACCTCGAAAAAGCAGCAAAAAGATAGATGTGCCAAAAGTGGTAGAGAAAACATGCCAACATTCAAAGAATAATTAATGAAAAGTGTTGCAGTTTTAACACAACAAATTAAAGTCAGTCCCAGTCTTCCCTAGTTCTTCTCAAGGGAGCCCAGGATCTCCATCCCCTGGATACAGCCATGCCTGCTGCCTGTCCTGACATTGCCCCAGGCTACAAGTTTAATGAAAGCTTCATTACCATAGTTCTGAGTCTGGTGTCTGTCATATCTGAGTAAATCACCCAGCTATGAATCTCGTGAACTCATTGTACTGAGTAATCTTCTTGGTAATCTCTTTTTTTGTTTTTTTTGAGATGGAGTCTAATTCTATCACCCAGGCTGGAGTGCAGTGGTGTTATCTGAGCTCACTGCAACCTCTGCCTCCTGGGTTCAAGCGATTCTCCTGCCCCAGCCTCTCAAGTAGCTGGGATTACAAGCATGCATCCTGCTAATTTTTTTTTTCTTTTGGTAGATAAAATATTTTACCATGTTGGGCAGGCTGGTCTTGAACTCCTGACCTCAAGTGATCCGCCCACCTTGGCCTCCCAAAGGGCTGGGATTACAGGCATGAGCCACCACACCCAGCAAATCTTCTGTGATTTTCTAATTTTCACTTTTATATAGAATGGGTTTTTACTTTTCAAAACTTCATTGTGGCTGGACCCCTGCATTCCACTGAGGTCTGATGTGCTAAGTTCCTGATGCACTTCCTGCTCCTTGCCACCTTACTCTCCTCCAGTATTAACATTCTCCCATCCTCCCTCATCTTCCTACCCTCCCCCACCAGGTGAGAAAGATTTGGCTCCCCAGTTGGCTGACTGGCGTTCAGAGATAGGTTCCTGATTCCCTACCATGGAGAAGTTGCTTGCAAGAGAAACCCAGCATTATAAACGAACTTTCAAAAGGGTCAGTTAGACAAGTTGGCTGTGACATGAGGGTTAATTAGGGAACTTGAAATGTAATATTCTTTCTGGCACAGAGGATTCTGTTGTCCTCCAGGCTGCATGACTTAAGACAGCAATGGACAGTTTCCAGACCCCAGTTGCAAGCGGGCAGGGTCAGAGCTTCTAATTCTGCTAGGCTGAGTCAGTTTTTGGTGCCTAGATGGGTGTGGCCAAGAACGCAGATGGCAGGTAATCATTAGGGGATGTTGGGATGGGTCTGGGACAGGCTGAACTTGACAGCTGTGGTTCTGATTCACAAGGGCAGGCACCACTTCCCCCAAGGACCGTGCAAGCCTCACCATCTTATACCATGTTGTTTTGTTGTGTGTGTTTATTTTTCTTTAGTTATCCCTTAGTTGTTAAGAAACTAGACATATAGATTATTGACCTAACGCTTGTTTACCCTAGAAAGGTTCTGGTTGCTGCGCTTCACCTTGCCAAGGACCCTTAGGTAGGGCTGCCAGCCAAGTCAGCTGACTTTACCTGCTCCTCACACATTATGACTTAGGCTGTTGTGACTGCTGCAGGGCCTGCCACAGAAATGTGGTTAACTCTTGACCCCAGGCTTTGTTACAGGTATACCTCTTTCCTGCTGTTCTCAGATGCAGCCTTATGTGCAGCTTTTGGCTAGGACCCAACAGTCATCATAAAAGACTGACCCTATCACTGTCACTAACTGCCTCTACAACCTTCAGCATATCACAGCACCCAGATTCCATGTTCCTCATTTGGAAGAGCAGGTGGAGAGGGGTTGGCCACTAAAGATAACGAAACTAAAGCTGCCATAATTCTAAGAGATTTAACCATTACTTTCTATAGGCATTGAACTCAGTGGCTCTAAATCAAATTATTTATTATCCTTAATCATGATTATATAAGGCAAATTCTGCCCTTTAAACTCTCTTAATGAAATAGAAATATTTAAAGACAACTACCAGCTTTGTTCTCTTCCTCCTTCCCATCCTCCCTTCTCTTCCCCATTCTTCCTTTTCTTCCTTCCCTTCTTCCTTTCTTTATTTCTCAATTTGAAACAAATACGTTAGAAGTTCAAGTCACCTCTTTGCAGAGACAAATTATTCCAGCAAAAAACTAGAAATATCCGGTCTAGATTATCCCTATGTATAACTTATGTATTTAAAAGCCTTGGAATCCATCTATTATCTATCTGTCATCTGTCTATCTATCTATCTATCTATCTATCTATCTATCTATCTATCTATCTGTCTGTCTATCTACCTATCTATCTATCATCTATCTATCATCTTTAAACCCTTGGAATCCATCTATTAACTGTCATCTATCCACCCATTCATCATCTGTATTTCTAGAGAAATATCTATGCTTTTAGAGTTTAATAAGATAAAGTTTTGATTAGCTATTATTTTAAAATAACGTTAATCTAAAGCAACATTTTTAAAAAGTATAGTCTTAACATTACCTATATAGAGGAACCTGAGATGTTTGCTAAAAGTACAGGAATCTGACTGCAGGCTGAGAATCACTATTACCAACAAGACTGCACACCCCTGCCCCCAACATTCTTAAGCACATCATATTCTGAGAAACCTGCATGTGAAGACTTTGAAACCACAATATATCATGCAATGTAAAGGACTATTTTGAAGTGGTAGCTAAGTGGTTGTGAGGGGTAAATATACCTCTGGGAGCCACCTCAAATCCCTTGTGGATATTAAAAGTATAAGTGAAATAAAAAGGGAATGTTATAAATAAATGAATATGTAAAAATATCTTTAAGTAGCTATGTATCAATTTATTAATTCTGATGTTGAATGCTCTGTCCTACTCATTTTTCAAAGAGATTAAAACCTCTTTCCCATTAAAACTTGCCAGCCTGTTAGAGCACATAGAGCTATCTATCTGCTAGAATAATAATACTTTTTCGAATTTACCAGTATTTTTCAAAATGTATTCCAAAGAACTCTAGTTCATGAACTATCTGTACTACCACCAAACAAACAAGCAAAGAGTGAGACACATTTGCAAAAGCCCAGCCTATATAAATTATGAAAACACTACAAATTATGTACCCAGTATGTGAGCTCCATAGTGCACATTAGCTTATTACAGATTATGAGAAGCCTTACAATATGAAACTTTTAATGTTTTTAAACCAGAATTTCTAAAACTTATTTGACCAGGGAGTCTTTTAAAAAATCATGTTTATCAATTTCTCTCTTTTCCTCTTTCTCTCCCTCAAAGCTGGTTGTGTATTTGTTTTCTATTTAATTATGTAAAGCCTTGAATTATCTTTTAATTATTGTTTAACCCTTCATGCATAATTATATGCATTCCATATATGTATATGTCATGCAGGATTGTGTGTTTTTATTTACTGAGTGGATTATTTTGTTTTTGCCTTTTAGTAGTGCTGTTGCTAAATGTCCACATAGTCTTTACTGATTGGAGTGGACTTTCTTGGTACCAATTAACTAGGATAAAACAGGCCATGAGACAGAAAATGAAAGTATGGATGGTAGGCTCTAGGTAAGCAAGAGATAACTCCATTCACCTTGGGTTTTGATATCTCTTATGCTTTTACATGATCATTGTTATAAGGATGATAACATTAATACTACTTATTGTGCAGTTATGGTCTGTGATGTGGCAAGTACTTGTTATTTCTTTTAATTCTGAGAACAACCCAATAAGGCAGGCATTATTAATGCAATTTTCAGAGGATTATAGATACTTACAGCTGAAATCTACACAGAAATATAGCAAAGCTGGGTTTTGAACTCATTTCTAACTGACCTCAAAGCCCATGATCACAACCATTCTGTCCATTGCCTGCTGAATCTAGAAATTCTCAACTGTGCTTCTAAGGTGGTAAAGTTTATAGGTAGCCTCTTCCGTGTGATGTGAGGCTCGGAGCTAGACAGGGAAGTGACTCCTTAAACAGAATAAATACATATATGGTCTAAATCACACCATCACATGCCATGGTTTGCGTGTATGTGTGTGTGTGTTTGTGTGCGTGTGTGTGTGTTTATTTCTCTTTTGTTGTTTGTCCCTTAGTTATTAATAAACCTCGCTGAAATATGCAGGCTTTACCTCAGCTGTGCTATGAATAAGTAAAGAAAAGGTGAGGTGGCCATAAATGGACCATAGAGCTCAAGAGGGAACAGTTCTTCTCACTTTGAATGGCTGCTGCTGTGATCATCAGCCAAGATTGACAGGAATTAGAAGAATGTTGGAGAAAAGATTGGTGCCTGCAAAGGTTGGCTGCCTGAGCTTTGATCAATACTCCTGTCTAATGTCTAGGATTTAGTTTTAGAAATTTAGCATTAAAAATAATATATCTTCTGTAACAGATATTTAGTAAACTAATACTTTAAGGAAGGGACCATTTTTATTATTCATTTTAAGACCCCATAATGGTTAGCATGGTAACTTGTCCCAAGTAAGTGCTCCATAAATACTGGTTAATAAGAGAGACTGAGCCTGTCTTCAAGTTAAAGAAGGAGGGTGTTGGGTACAAAGACAAACTTCACTCAGCACATTGCATGTGCCAGAGTGCATTTTTAGGATTAATGAAGAAATATAACATCATTGTTTTTGATGTATACTCATTTGCTGAGGGTATATAGCCTAGTTAAGTTTTTAGTTGCTTATCAATTAAATGACATTTTGCCTTTTATGTGGTATCATTTAACAGCAGGCTACTAATCAGAATTTCATTGAGCTTTCAATTGCATGATGTAATGAGACCTAAAATGGATATAATTTCAGGAAGTTGTTTTACCAAATTATTTTTGACCTGAGAAGGATATCCACAAAACAGTTATTTGTAGCTTCTATTATATTGAGTGGTTTCTACTTAATTAAAATTGTGTCTCTAGCCTAGAAATTATTTTCTAAGAAATGTTTTCTTGCTAAATAAGATTGTTGTATATAGGAGAACTAACTCTATCTACTGACTGCTGCTGCTTACTGAGGAGACAAATATATTTCCATAAAATTCAAATAAAATGTTTTTAGATTCCAGTCAAATGCCATCATCTAATGAGATGACTGAGATGACATCTACTACCTTAAAGAAGTCAGGAATGAGGCCGGGCACGGTGGCTCACGCCTGTAATCCCAGCACTTTGGGAGGCTGAGGTGGGTGGATCACGAGGTCAGGAGATCGAGACCATCCTGGCTAACATGATGAAACCCCGTCTCTGCTAAAAATACAAAAAATTAGCCAGGCGTGGTGGCGGGCGCCTGTAGTCCCAGCTACTTGGGAGGCTGAGGCAGGAGAATGGCGTGAACCCAGAAGGCGGAGCTTGCAGTGAGGGGAGATCGCGCCACTGCACTCCAGCCTGGGTGACAGAGTGAGACTCTGTCTCAAAAAAAAAAAAAAAAGAAGTCAGGAATGAACTGCTTCAAGGCTAAGACATACTTGGCTCACATCTCTGATATCGGCTAACACTGGAATCAGCATGGCCCAGAGGATAAAAACAATAAACAACACAAACAGAACAAAATAGAACAAAACACATAACTGAAAATAAAGACAACTGAATTCCAGTCCCAGCTCAGCCACTGTTGTGCTTTGTGGGTCTTGTTCTTGTACATTTCAAATCAAGAGGATGGAACTTGTTCATCTCATTGTTGTGAAGATGAAAAGTTGAGTAACTTGTGGATCTGGGTGGGACTGTATTAGGGACTGGTACAGTAAAACAATTAAAATGAAATGATCCACAGGAGACACTTCCATCAATAGGTAAGTTACAGTG
This sequence comes from Homo sapiens, assembly GCF_000001405.40. Lineage (NCBI taxonomy): Eukaryota > Metazoa > Chordata > Mammalia > Primates > Hominidae > Homo > Homo sapiens. The sequence continues at coordinate 74,256,545 of NC_000013.11, forward strand.
GGTGGGATAATGAGCCCTTCAACCCACCAGCGAATCAGTAGGGTAAAGCTAGCACTTCAACACATTGGTGGTGGTGGTAGTGAGGGGGTGAGTTTATACAGCATTAAGCTTTTCTTTTATTAGTGGAAAACTCTGAGTAGAGCTTGTGTGTGTGTGTGTGTGTGTGTGTGTGTGTCTAAGATTTTCCTATCTGTTGCCACGCTGTTTTGGAAACGGCCTACTATTTGCAGACTCACTGTCATTCACTAGTCCCGATTTTAATCACTGTTTGATCTTATATTACACATGAAATGGTAGAATAATAATTAAATTTTGTGTCACTGTCCCTGAAGACATATTTTCATATATTAATTGCTGATTAATCTTCTACTTTTTTTTGTTGTTGCAGTTGTTATTCCGTGACATCTTATCTACTTAAGCAGCTAACCCATGAGGCATCCAAAACAGAGAGAAAAAACAGAGTGAACATTTTGCCTTATGGAATTGTCAAAAGTTGCGGTCGAAACACAGGCAAGATTTGGAAGAATCTGTAATGAGCCAGGGCCAGTTTTCCTAGTTATAGAGCCTAGGCTGGAGGAGGTACATGGGCTGGGGAAGGAGAGGGAATTAGAGATTGGCTGTTCCTGGAAACTCTCTGCCTGTACTCCATGGCCTGAGTCCCAGGACCTGGAAGCGGCTGAAAATCTGAGATATAGAAGAGACTGGTGCTGCCTTTCTGGGGAGGGCTTGGGAAAACAGCAAGTTCCCTGAATTTTTCCATGGCACAGGAGCAGATGAAATGTCATGATTGGTGTCCAGGCTAGTGGACTGAGTTAACTCCCGAGAGTCCCTGTACTCTCCAGCATGGCACGAGGAGAAGCAAACCATTTTCCTATGCAGCCATAGGAAAACGGTACAAACACGACACTGAAATTCAGCTGACCGCAAGAGCTTGATGGTCAGTGTGAGCCAGATGGAGCAGGAACATGTATGGATGGAAAACCCAGATCCAAAGTTCATCCCCCTCTCCCGTGGATGCTCCAGCACATTGCAAGGTTTCCCAGAAACTTAGAGGCAACCTTGGCACAAGGACATGATTTGTTGGAAATTAAGTTTTGTCACCTGGGGGACTGCGAGCTTGATACGGAAATTAATTCAGTTATATAATTATAAAAATGATGCACTTTCTACACATCTGATTTTGTGAACCCAAATTAGTTTCCACAACGCAACTGTGTTAACATTTGCCAACCTCTGGGGCAACATTGGTTGTCTTTGTTGCTTTTTTCTAGAAGTTTTCAGCTCAAACTCATCTTTCCCTTTTTTATTTTCATTTCTAAATTCTGGTGAGTGGTGTTTTGATAAGTAGATATCAGCTATTTCCTGTCTTACTTGAAAAGTCTTCTCTGTATTAAATAACAAAGGTCACTTAGATAAATATCTTCTCATTACCAGAGGGTAGGGAACTGCTTCTCCTATACATAACTTCTATTATCTTTCAATCCAGAAAAAAAAACGTGGCAGGAGGACAAGTTTTTGAATGTTATGAATCGTGATTTCTGTGTCTAAAATCTGCTCTTTTGTTAACACTAAGGGCAACTTCCTTCAAAGTGGTTCATCTTGGTCTATTACTGTGTTTGTGTGTGTGTGTGTGTGTGTGTGTGTGTGTGTGTGTGTGTGTAGTAAAACCAAAGTTTCCTATTATTTTTGAAGGTATTTGGCCCTGCTGGAAGACAGCTATGTATAAGTTGAACTTGGCAGAGAGAAAGGGAAACCAGATCTTACTCCCAGGCCTCCTGTCACCAGCTGTGTGACTTTGCTGAAGTCATTTCTTTCCCCTAAGTCTCAGTTCCAATACCTATAAAGTGAGTGTTCTGCCTGTGTGTGTTTTAGGTCTTTATTAATGTTGAAATGTCCTGACTTTATGGGTTCTCATTCACTGTGATGTGGTAACCAAAACAAGCAGAGATTAATAACCAGGACTCAATAATGTAAAACACTAAAAATTATATTTTTGCAAATTTTTGTAAACGCGGGATCATATCTCTCTCAGTGACAGTATTGGTGTGATCCATTATTGTACATTTAGTGGATAAACAGAATGTAACTAAGAAGTGTTATCTTTGTTATCAGGGGAACGTGGAGTTGGATGTGTATGATGGGGATGGGCAGTTAATTCATAGGTTAAACACTCAACGAGGGAATATCTCTTTATCGCTATCTCCAAAGACTCCCCACTCTTCCTCAATTTTCTTAGTAACTCACTGCTCAGACTTAGTTTCCCCAGAAGCAGACTATGAGACCAGGATTTGATGCAAGCAGTTTTTTTGGAGTTGATCTCAGAAAGGCTAAGAGAGTAGAGAAGTAATACAGAGAAGTGAAGAAAGCTAATAGAAGGTCCCGGTGCTCTCTCCTGAAAGAGAGCGCTGGAAGACTGAGTAGAACATGCCCCAGAGTTGTCCCCCTCTGCTGGGGCAAGAGAACTAGGGTACTGATCAGCTAATTTCCGTGCTTCACTGGTTAAGGGCATTAACCTCCCCAAACTTCTGGCCTGTGCCCCAGATAGACCAGGCATGCTTCTGTGGCCAGAGAAAGCCCGAGGATGGAGAGTCACAGATGCTTGTGGTAGGTAGCAGGTGGTGTGTATGGAAATGGGAATGGGATGCCAAGGGGATTTGGGCAGGGCACCAAGCATCTGCCGCATTACCCTAATCCAGGCAATAACACTCACAGTATCCCAGGGATTCCCCTTCTAGCCTCGAATTCCTCTTATTCTCATTTATTTTGTATTTACTTTCTAGACCATAGTTTCTCAGATAGTAAAGGTTCTACTGACTTTCCTCATCTCTCTGCAACCTCTTTCCTGCCTAGCTTCTCTTCCATGGTCAAGCCAATACACACAGAATTTTGCCTTCCATTCTTCACTCAGGTGTTTCTTCCACTTGGAATCTGTTCCTCAGTCATTTTCACTAATCCATGTCCCTCCCAGTACACAGAATTTTTCACAGAAAACATAGTTAATCCTTTAAAAATATATTTAGATTGACTTGCATGCCCCTCTTAAGGTTTTTTCTTTCCAAATGCCTTTTTTAAAACCCCAATTTAAGAATTTCTTTAGCCAATACTACAACAATGCAGTCCTTGTTCTCCACTTCTTTCCTTTTATCTACTCAATGTTATTAATCTTTTTAGTGTAAACATCAGTAACTCAATCGAGCCTTTTCTGATCCCCATGATTAGGATGAGTTTTTGTGTTGCCTACTCCAAAAGGTCTGTCCTTTTTAATGCTCACCACACTTGAGGTTTCTGTTCACACTTCAAAGGCTGTGGGGCCCGATACCATGATTTTGCTGCACTCCTAGACCTGGCCTACTGGTACATAGTAGGCATTGATAAAAATTTGCTGGAGCATTGCATAAATAAACTATGCCATTTGGGGCTGATTAACATTTTAACGAATAATTGATTTTACTTCTTCTAAGCATTTTTCTAGTGAATTTATAAATATATTAAAGGTGGAGGCTGTTTCTTTTGTGTCCCCTCTGGAGTGCTATATACAAAGTACTTCATACAGTAGGAGCTTCAAAATGTTAGTAAACTAAATACACACACACTCACACACACACATGCACACACGGAGGTAACTGCAAAGTCTCAGAGTATGTGCTTTGGTAAGAGGTTACTTGGACCATTGGAGCATGCTGTTCTCTCTCATGTGACACATAGCAACAATTCAAATAGAGTAAATCGGGCAGGATACAATGGCTTATACCTCGAATCCCAGTACTTTGGGAGGCTGAGGCAGAAGAATCGTTTGAGGCCAGGAGTTAGAGACCAGCCTGGACAACCTAGCAAGACACTATTTCTCCAAAAAGCAGAAACATTAGCTGGGTGTGGTGGTGCACCTGTAGTCCTAGCTACTTGGGAGACTGAGGTGGGAGGATCGCCTGAGTCCAGGAGTTCGAGGTTATAGTGAGCTATGATTGCCCCACTGCACTCCAGCCTGGGTGACAGAGTGAAACACTGTTTCTAAAATAAAATAAAATAAAATAAATAAAATAAAATAAAATAAAATAAAATAAAATAAAATAAAATAAAATAAAATAGTGAATTAATTGCTGGAGAGGTACTAAGTAATAAAATTGGGCTTCAAATGGAAAAGCAATAAAAAAAATAGGTCCTGTGATTTGGAAGAGTAATGAAGGTGCTGAACATAGACACTAATTGTAAATGTGTAGGAATGCTGGGAAGAATAAAAATTTGCGGGTATGTGTGCTAATTGGTGTTAATAACAAACATACAAAGAAAAACAAATTGGGTTAAAGAATAAAAAGAAGCACAAGATTTGCAGTCATTAATTTTGAAGAAAAATGTAGGTGAGAAAAAATGAAAAAAGCAAACTAAATATTTTGAAAACAAAGAAGTTCATCAGCTTAAGGATACACTGGACTTTGGGAACTTGGAGGCAAGAGTGTGAGGGGGGTGAGGTAAAAAAGACCACACATTGGGTACGGTGCTCAGGTGATGGGTGCACCAAAATCTCAGAAATCACCACTAAAGAACTTATCCGTGTAACCAAACACCAGCTGTTCTCCGAAAAGTATTGAAATTTTAAAAAAATTTAAAAAGAGATCAATATGTATTAAAATAGCAGTGACACTTTTGAGAAGACCTAGTGGTTAACAGAATAATATCAATAATCACCCAAAGAAAACTATTCCGAAATGTGTTGTGTTTCCCTGGTATAAATATAATTAGAGAATAAGCGGAATAGAAGAAAATTATCTTCACATCTATATATTTTACCTGTTTATGGATGCAATTTCCATAATATATACGCAGAATTTTTTCTAAACAGAAGCATGAAAATAAAAAAATATTTCAAAATAAAAGTGCTTCGGTGGAAGCATTAGATGGAGTATGATAGGAAATTTCATTTTCCCATTCTATTCAAACCAAATTGGGTAAAAGCCTGCTAGCTTTTCTTGAATGTTATCTCAAAAAAAGAAAAGATAAAAAAAGTTTGTGATAAAGTAACAGGCTACATAGGCCATCTTTGAACAACATATAAAGACTGTATATAAACACATACACAACAGATATATATGATTTAGATTTTAGTGTCTTTTGACATTTTCTACAGACATTTCAAATATTATATATGTATACACAAATATTAATAAGGATACAGAAATCTAGGTGTGCCTGATTTTACATTTCTTTGGGCAGCATGGATTTGCTATGAAGCCATTTGTCTCTAAACTATCTTTCTGAAAAAATATGCACATGCAGACACAAACGTGTGTGTGGTAGTACACTGGTAAACTCTGTGCTTGCCAAATGTTCTTGTATGCTGTTAGCCAGTCAGAGCTTCATGACCAAATGAACATGCTCATCCATTGAGCAAGAACCCACCATGCTGCAAATTCTCACCTTCAGAGAGTGCTGTGCTGTGCTGTCCCGAGCTGAGTGTGCTCCTCAGTGTGTGTGGCTCACTGCACTGGGGCCTCTCTTTTTGCCATGTGTTTTGTGGTCTGGTCTACAATTTTGAAAGACTGTGGCTTCCAGAAGTGGTGTAAATAATCAACTTGCAATAAGACACAGGTAGAGTATCATGGCTGATGGTAAAATGCATGTTTAATATTGACTTGAGGTATTTTCAGAGAAATGATCAAGTAGAATTGAACAAATGAGAGGCAATTAGAAGTGTTGTTGATCTTCAACACTGTGAAAGGCATCACTCATAATTGTAGCTGTAGGAGGTTGGATCAATATTTTGTGAATGATGGCTGGAAGAACCTGTAGCCTGAGACATTATAGCTTCATGAGATTTGAAGAAAGCACAAGAGCGATTGTAAATTTTAAATGCTAAGAAAGAATAGCTGTCCCTCAGTATCTATGAGCAATTGGTTCAAGGACCTTCTCTGGATACCAAAATCTGAGGATGCTCAGGTCCCTGATATAAAATGGAGTGGTACTTGCATATAGTCTATGCCCATCCTGTTGTATACTTTAAATCATCTATAGATTACCTGTAATACCTAATGAAATGTAAATGCTATGTAAACAATATAACTGTTATGCTGTATTGTTTAGGGAGTAAGGACAAGAAAAAAAGACTGTACATGTCCACTACAAACACAATTTTTTTTGATCCACAGTTGGTTCAATCCCTGAATGTGGAACCCACAGATGTAGAGGATCAACTGTATTTCCAGAGAAGACTTGCATGATCCCGACTCAGTTAGGACCTCAGGAAGGCAATGTCTCAGAATAATAGTATATATATATATGTGTGCATATATGTACGTATATATGTATGTACACACATATATATATGTATATATCTCACAGAGTCCCTAATGTTATTGACAAATATGCATTCGTAATTTTTTACCTGGTTCTTCGTCAGTGTGCTTAATTCTCAATATTTTTAAAAGGTTGAAAATACAGCTGAAAGTAAAATCAAATTCAGTAAAAATACCAAATGTCAGCCTCAGAGCTAAATACTGTCTAACAGCTCCAAGACATAAAAAGAAAGGAATATTCAAATTGATGAACATTATTAAAGACAAGGACATTTTCATTTATAAAAGAGAGAAAGTATTTAAAGTAAGTAAGTTCTTTATACTTCTAACTAAAATGCTTCTCATGTCTAACTCTTATAGCTAAGTAAAAAATAATGTAATGCTCCTTGTACACATCTTTTTACTTATAGTAGCCTTGAGAAAAATTACACATAGGTAGTTTAACTTGCTCAAACCCATCAGAAATTAAGGGAAATTGAAGAAAACATTATTAAGGATTTTATTCACATTTAAGTTGCTATTGTATGCAGCAAGAGATTAAAGGAACCATAAGATAAAGACTCTGACTCTATGAATATATGCCCCAGTAGAAGAGCATATAGAATTGGGTTTGAGATCATTGCTTTTTAAAGTATTTGTCAGCTCACGTTTGACACTCAACCTGTTACTCTCATCCAGTAATATGGTACTAATATTTATCTGTTTATAGCCTCCTCCACACTTCTAGTGAGTTACTGAGTTTAATTTTCTCTTCTCATTCAGAGCAAGCTAATGGGAGTAAAGGATGAATAGAAGTTCCCTCTGTCACTGAGGCAGGAGAATCGCTTGAACCCAGGAGGTGGAGGTTGCAGTGAGCTGAAATCACGCCACTGCACTCCAGCCTGGCGACAGAGCGAGACTCCATCTCAAAAAGGAAAAAATAAATTCTCTCTGTCTATCCCACCACCTCAGGTCTGGTCATATGACCCTATACTCAGCTAACATGATACTCCATGGATTCTTGACCATTTAAAAATCTTGTCCTTCAGGGCTTTTACTGATTTTGGAGTATACAATAAATATCCTTCAATTATTTTGGGTGCTTTATAGCCAGGTTTGTTTTTTTTCTAGGCAGCCACAATCTTGACTAATATGAAAGTTGGTTCCAGGAGCAGATTATATACCAGATCTCAGGGAAAAGGAGGAAGTCTGGGATTGTACCTGGCATAACTGGGGTTAAAAGCAGTGAAAATGCAGTTGTGTCAGTGATCGAAGGATGACAGACTGTGGTAAGCAATGACAAAACGGTTAACTTTCCATTACTTGGAATCCAGTGCAAATTGAAGATCAGGCTTTGGGTATCAATTTGCTGATGTTGAATAACAGCTGAAAAAAACTAACTGGGTGTGTGAGGGGCTGCTGTTAGACAAACTAAGTGGCTTGGATAAAAAAAGAATGACAAGCTCAAATATTAAATTCTTGGGTCACAAACTTAAGCTTAGGGAACTTTACCTGATGATGCTAGCAGAATATTTGGACTCTTATAGCTGTAGAGATGAGGTATCCAAAAAATAAATAAAAAGGGTAGTCTTGAGTTGCCAAGTTAACACATTACTTATCCCCTCTTCAGCTTCTTTGGTGAGAGTTAAAATATTAAATGGGACAGAGTGACATTCTGAATATTAAAATGGAGATATATGGGAGGATTTGAAGGACTTGAAATAGCCACAGAATCCAAATTCTTTAAGCTTCCTTAGCCAGTTGGTGCATTCAAAATAGCTCAGGTAAAAACCCTTTTCTTTGTTGGAAGAGGCAGTCCTTCCCACTCTTAAGTCAGTTCTCTTCAGATCCTAACCCTCTTTCCCCCATTTTCATTTCAAACTGGTAACTGAATTTGGATTTCAGCATACTAATTTATGTTGTCAAACTTTGTGTAATAGTTTTATACAACAAAATAAATACACAAAATAAATATACTTAACAATTTGTATAATAAAATACCTAGGGGAGAATATGTCTTATTAAATTCCAAACATGCTCAACCAAAAAGTGAATAAATGTAGTCTTAGGTTAGTCTATTTTTTTTTCATATAGTGCAATTATCTGAATTCATAGAGAGGGCAAGCTACTTTTAATACAGGAAGCTGTATAGATTATTGATCATGCTAAAGAAAATTAAGATGCCATAAATTATTTACAATAGTACCTAGAAAGAAATAAAATGACCGAATTTATAACATGAATCTCATCTACTTCCTAACTATGTTGCCTAAGTAGACATAGATGACCATTTTTACTAAGGCCTTGAGAAATACTTATGAGGGAACTACTAGTATCTACAAAAATGTGATTGTGGCTTCTCTTGTCAGTTGGGGATATTGATGGGAGGGACTAATATTGAAATAGTCTGCCTGATTACAGTGGAGATTGGAAAGATCCTATGATTGAGAAGGGCAGGTGCAGAAGTCAGGCACTTAACCTCCAGAGGCCATTTATTCGTGCTTTCCCTAATAGAGACACATAGATATTTAACACTGATTTATTGATCATTGAGTCTATAGATCTGAGATATATGGGCAATCACAAAGTTCCTAATAAATTTGCATAAAATCCCCATGTCTCAGGATGAAGCTCACCAAAGGAAAAACAGAGTCATTACTCTATTTCTAGACCTGTGGTCGTTTTCTGGTGTAAATATATTCTGAAGAAAAGAATATAAGTAGACCTTTCAGTTGTTTTAAGATAATGGCTCCCAAATTACACATGTCTGTTATAGAAGAATGGCACTGTGGTTCAATGGTCAGAGTAGAAATGTATGATGTTCAGGTGATAGAGTCTTGACCCAAGCCCATCTCACTGTAGGCATAGTGGGACCTACAGACACATCCTCTTCTTTTTCCCTTCATTTCCTGTGTGTTCTTGGAAAAGATACTCTAGACAACTGGCTAAATACTCACATTTACTTCTTAACTCAGGAATAAGAGTTATTATGAAAGGAAAGAACAAGGATGGAAGTCCTGGATCTCACCTTCCTTACTAAAAGAAAAACCAAGAGCAGTAGGATATTCCCATAGAATCTGAGAGATTAGTGCTACCATCAATGACTGAAATGGTAGGTTGTGGTCATTTCTATCGCAGCTCCATTCAACTCTCCAATTAGTTTGATGGGGAAGACAGATGGGTCTTGGAGAATGAGTGTGGATTATCGTAAGCTTAATTAGGCGGTGCCTCCAAGTGCAGCTGCTGTTCCAGATGTTGTCTCCTCACTAACTCATATCAACAGAGCTCCTGGCAATCAGTCCAGGCTGCAGTGCAATCAACTCTACCTGGCAGCCCATTTGATCCAGCGGATCCAATGAAGCTTGAAGAGTTTGTAGCAGATTGGGATGCTTTATGGAGCTCCAGTAGTAAATTCTCAGTCAAGACCTCTAATATCATTTAAAAAATCAAAGTTATGACCTCTCCAGTAAGTAACTAGTCCTATTTTGAGAAACAACTCTTGAAATGCTACTGGACCTTGGTAGGACTAAATACCTGGCATTATGATCTGAATTTCCCATTATGAATGAGTCACAAGCTCATTCACCAAAAAATAAAGTGAGGAATCCACAGCAGTACTCCCTCAAGTGAAATGCACACATACCCATGCATCCACGTGCACATATACACACACACATATGCACAGGAATGGTTCCAAGCCAATCTTAAATGCACATGTTAAATTGCACAAGGAGGATTCTCATCTTCCTGGTATCATCCTGCTACGCTGCTGTTCTCTCTCAACCCCAGTGGCCTCATGGAAGGATTCCTGTGACTAATTAGTAGCCTGAGATGCCAAATAAATCAATAAATGGATAGATACGTAGATAGATAGATAGCTCTTGGTTTACAGATGCTTCTTCCTGATTTCCTGGGGCCAGCACTGGTGGACTTATGGTAAATGATTGTACTTCTTAATTCAATGCTGGTCCTAAAGAGAAGTAATCCTGTTGTCTAATTTGCCTGGAAGAAGTCATAGATTGAGTTAAGTAATAACAAAAACCAGTGGACCAGTGGGTAATGATTAATAATTTGAGCAGGTAGTCAGAAGCTTAGAAGTAACAAGAATATTTTGGTAGAGGGTAGTGGATATCTTTTTCCATCTGAATGCTCTCAGAGTGGAAAAATATTAGTGTACCATTTGAATGCTTATCAAGAGTCTCTTAAGGTTCAGGATAGATGATAACTCACTCTCTAGATGTCAGTCAGCCTCCCCGCCCATTCTCCTCATACTTGCATAATGATCTCATGAATTATGTAGCAATGGTGATAGTGAAAACTACTGTGTTGGATTGAATGATGGTCCCCAAAAGATATGCCCACATCCTAATCCCCAGAATCTGTGAATATGACCTTATTTGAGAAAGAGTCTTTACAGGTCTAATAAAGTTAAGGAATTTGAGACAAGATCACCTGGATTTCCTGAGTAGCTTCTAAATCCATCAAAATGTATCCTTATAAGAGACAGAACAATAGCCAAGATGTGGAAGCAAACTAAGTGTCCATCAACTGATGAATAGTGGTATATATACAGGATGGAATATTATTCAGCCACAAAAAAGAAAACCCTGTCGTTCATGGCAACATGGATGAGCCTGGAGCTCATTATGTGAAGTGCAAAAAGCTAGGTACAGAAAGACAAATATTGCATGTTCTCACTCATACGTGGGAGCTTTAAAAGTTGATCTCATGGAGGTAGAGAGTAGAATGATGGCTACCACAGGCTGGAAAGTGTAGGGGGAAGGAGGGATGAAGAGAGGTTGGTTAATGGGTACAAAATTATGGTTATAGAGAAGAAATAGGCTCTAGTGTTAGCACAGTCAGGTGACTATGGTTAGCAATAATTTATTGTATAGTTAAAAATATCTAGAAGAGAAGATTTGGGATGTGCTCAATATGAAGAAATGATAAATGTTTTAGGTGATGGATACCCCAATTGCCCTGATTTGATTGCTACATAGTATATGCATGTATCAAAATATCACATGTACGTCCAAATGTGTACAATTATTATGATTAATTTTTTAAAAAAGAGGCAGTGGAGGAGAAGAGAGACACAGAGAAGGCCATGTGAAGATGGAGGCAGAGATTGGAGTTACGTAGTCAAAAGCCAAAGGATACCTGGGGTCACTAGAAGCTGAAAGAAGCAAGGAAGGAGATTCTCCTAGAGTCTTCAGGAGGAACAAGGTCCTACTGATGTCTTGATTCTGACTTCTGGACCCCGGAACTGTGAGAGAATGAATTTTTGTTGTTTTAAGCTACTGAGTTTGTGACAATTTGTTACAACAGCCAAAGGGACAAATATACTAAGGAGAGATTCTCTATATTATTTTGCTATCACTGTTGCTGAGGGCTCAATTTTTCCAGTAGAATTATTAGTCCATTTTTAGCTAAGGAGCTAGAACCTGGGTGGGACTTTTGGCAGGGTGATTACTTTTTTTAGTGGGACATCAAGTATTTGTGCCAACTGAAAAACACCTTAAGGATATGGACTGGATTTGTTTTTTCTGCCTATTATATTTCTAGAAGCACCGTTAATTATGGACTTAACAGATGCCTCTTAGCTCATCAGATTATGTCGTCCAACATTTCTCTGGCCATGAAATTGTTATTTTGTGAGTGAAATCAGGTAATATGCTGCTGGTCATGGGATAAGTGGTTTTATCATGTACCCTATCATCCCAAAGCAGCTCACTTACAGTATAATTCAGAGGCTCATTGGAGGATCTCTTACAGTTTCATTTAGGAGTTCTCCTTATGAGATTGGAACTCCTGTTCAGGAGAGCAGTATATGGAATGATTTCTCTCAGAGATAGATAATATGCGAGTCTGGAGAAGAAGGGTGATAGAAAATTTTATGCTTTTCAGGTTACAGCTCATAATGTGCCCTAGAAATTGTGCTAACTCCAAACACTTCTGGCTTAGAGGATTTAGTAAGCAAGAGATGAATGCATCCACCAGGCATTGTAACAAGTGTTCTTTTGAGTTGGAAGCTGAGACAGCTATTTGGTCTTTTTAGGTTCTTCACCATGAGTTGAGTATACTAAAAAGAGGGATTATAGTGCTGTCTGGGGTGATTAATCCTGACACTGAAGAAAAATAGAGTTGCTAGTTCACAGTGGAGGCAGAAAGGAGAATGGACAGAATCAACTGAGACGAAAGTGGGGCTGGGGAAGACCTTTGCATTGCCAAGTATAGCAATAAATTAAAAATGGCTTAAAGGTGACTTTAGTCATATACAGCAGGATCATCTAAGACTTAGAATTCTCAGGAATAAAGGTTTGGATTACCCCAGAGATAATGTTATTCAACCAGCTTTTGTGCCGGCTGATGGCAAAGGGGACATGAAATGAAGGAGTGGGGAAGGCATATTCATCTTCATGATTTTCCATAAACAAGAAGTGTAGTCACTTCTGTATTATTTTACTTGCTCTGTCTCTCTCTCTCTTTGTATATAGTTACATATTTAACTAATCTACCTTTTATTTCCTGCTCATTTCATATAGAGCATACTGAGTTCACAGTATGCTCATATAGAGCACACCACTATTTCATATAGAGCATACTGAGTTCACAGGCTGAACAATATTTATGTGTGATGGAGGCAAAATTAGAGAAGAATAGATTGTGACTAAAGAGCCAAGACATGTATTTAGATTTGTATATAATGGGACTCTGGATGGTCTCCTTGTTGCAAGAGTAAAAAAAATGTGTTTTAATTATACACGATGATATCATTATATTTGGCAGAAACATATTTTTGAGAGAAGGATATATACAGATTTTAATTAGTGAAGGAGTTATAGTTTAGGGGTATTTGTTATATTTTTGCTGCCCAGGAGCTCAAGTTCCTATGTGATAGGAATTCTATTATTTCAAGCAAGATCCTTACTTTCACCTTAGAAGTCCACGTGGTATAAATTTTCGTCTTTCTCATGAGCTAGTGTGTGTGCGTGATCTAAATTTGGATAATGAGCCGCTCATGCCAGGGATTTTGAATATGGGAGAAGGGACACAAAGAATCTAGACAATATCCAGTCATTTTGAGGTGACATTAGTGTTGTTGGTATTCAGTGTACACAGTGCTATCTGCTGTTTGTGGTAATCTCAGTGGAGAGTTTCAGGGAAGTCTGTGGAGGTGGCAGTTATGTCCTGAGACAACCATTCCAGTGGAGAGGTCTTAACTGTAATCCTGGTTCCTACTAATTTCCTGAGCCTGGTTCTTCAGTGTTGTATAACATAAAACTTGGTTGGCCTTTGTCCTGCTTACTAGGGGGAGCCTCTAAACCCTTGGAATTCTCTGAGTAATAGGAGTGTCTTTTTTTTCATGATGAGCCGTTCAGATCACACCTGATAGTGTATGCTAACAAGGTGATTCATGGCAGACTCCTAGGTAATTTATATGATTGAGATGACTCAGGATTGGGCTGGCCATGTCAAAAAGACCAGTCAGATGAATAGAGGGTTAGGGTTTTGCAGGATATGGTATCAGGCCAACCTCCTAACCTCCAGTGAGGTAAAAGGAGCTGGAGATTTAGTTCTGTCATATGGCTGATGATTTAACCAATGATGCTACATAGAGAAACCTCAATAAAAGTTGTGGACATTGAAAGCCTGAGTGAACTTCCCTGATTGGTAATCACACATCAGTGTGCTACAGGCATGAAGCATACTGAGGACACGGAAGCTTTGTGTTTGGAAAACTTTGTGTTGGGACCTCGCAAACCTTGCCCATCAATATACATCTCTTCATTTAGCTGTATGGCTTTGTAACCTTTATAATAAAAAATTGATCATAACACTTTGCTGAGTTCTGTGAGTTGTTCTGTAAGCAAATTATTGAGTGTGTAGTTGGAATCTCCAAAATTGTAGCTGGTTGGGTAGATGTGCGGGTAGCCTGCGAACCCTGGAGCTTGGGGCTGGTATCTGAAGTCAGGGGAGTGTCATGGACTATGCACTTAATCTGTGAGATTTGACCTCACTCTGGGTAGTTAGGGTTAGACTTGCATTGGGTCTGGCTTTCCCATCAATTCTGTGAGCCACTTGATATTCCAGTAAATTCTCTTTTTGCTTAGGTTAGTTAGAACAGCAGTCCTCAACCCCCAGGCTGGTACCGGTTCATGGCCTGTTAGGAACTGGGCCGCACAGAAGGAGGTGAGCGGTGGGTGAGTGTGCATTACTGCCTGAGCTCCACCTCCTGTCAGATCAGCAGTGGCATTAGATTCTCATAAGAGCACAAACCCTATTGTGAGCTGCACATGTGAAAAATCTAGGTTGAGCATTCCTTATGAGAATCTAACTAATGCCTGATGGTCTGAGGTGGAACAGTTTCATCCCGAAACCATCCCTCCCACCCCATCTGTGGAAAAATTGTCTTCCACAAAACCAGTCCCTGATGCCAAAAAGGTTTGGGACTGCTAAATTAGAATAACTTTCTGTTGTCTGCAATCAACATAAAGCTTAAGGAGAAAAAGGGCAACTATGCTTAAGCATTAGTAGAAACTAAGAATAAGCCTTGGACATTAATATGAGGTCTCTAATCTCTTAATTTTCTCTCCTTCCTTAAGAAAACTTATGACCAATAGACAGTAAAAAAGTGAAAAATGGTAGGACCATTTTTATATCATAGCAGAAGACATTTGTAAGGCAGAAGAGCCTCTTAAAAAATGAATGACTGTGTTGCATTTATAATACCTTAGTTTCTACTCCAAAGGAAAGTCACTTTCTCAATGATAAAC
Source organism: Homo sapiens (assembly GCF_000001405.40). NCBI lineage: Eukaryota > Metazoa > Chordata > Mammalia > Primates > Hominidae > Homo > Homo sapiens. The sequence continues at coordinate 74,271,588 of NC_000013.11, forward strand.
ACATCTTCCTAAAATATATTTGTTTATTAAACATTTCATATCCAGCTTTTTGCCAACTATATCTATCAGCTAAAGATATATTGAACTACTAGCCACAGGAAACACTAAATACAGTGGCATAAAAAGGGATCAATTTTTCTCTCACATGACAAAAGTGTGAAGGTAGGCAAGTCAGGTATGGTATACACAATGTCATCAGAGATCCAGGCTTCTCTTTCCCTTCAAATGTTTGTCGTCTTCCTCATGATTTCAAGATGGCTCTTTGCCCCATGGGTATGGTGACCAGACTCTAGCTAGGAAGAAGGGTGAAGGGCAAGGGGCAAAGAACTCATGCCAGTGGAGTCAGCTTTTTATAAAAAACTTTCTGAAAACTCCTTCAGTGACTTGTATTTGCAATCTTATTGGCAAGAATTGCATTTCTTGACCAGCCCTAGCTGCAAGGGAGTCTGATAACATAGTTTATTATTTATTTATTTATTTTTTGCTGTACATATTGCCATCATAAATAAAAATCAGGGTTGTAAAGAAAACTGGCACATTGTTTTCTTTAACTTCTAAAGTGCTACTTATAATTACTCTTGTCAAATAAATTGCTCTCTAGTCTTGGACTTATACTTCTACCAATTTAACAGCTGATTTCAAGATTAATAGTCAATTTAGTAAGTATTTATATGTATAAAGGCTAAACATACATGTGGAATAAAGTTAAGACTCCCCTGATGTTCCTTTCTTGGAAATTCCTGTGATAGTCACTTTCTTGGACTGTCATTGAAGATCAAAGTTAAAATATCTGAGAGGATGGTATAGCAAAACTTAAAAATAATTGTATAGATTGAGAACCCGCAGTGCTACTGAGTCAAACTTAAATGTTACAAGTTGTATGATAGTTGTCATATTAAAGTCTTTGAGAAGAGAATATGGCTACACAAGAGGGCCTGAGATAAGACTTCAGACATTAGGTTTGAAGTTATGGAAAGGAGGATCAGTGTCAGGTGGTAACCCTTACCTAGGAGGGGACTAGGCCGAATGCTATGGAACATTAATAGAATATGATAACAAAGAGCTGAAAGAAACAAGAATAAACTCTTCATCCACTAGGGAGGCAGGATAAAGGAAATTTTGAAAAGTAAAATCTTAAATACTTAGAAGAAGGCTATGTGTCTAGAAGGGAAAGTGAGTGATCTAAAGAATATTTTCAGGTTGGAGTTTAGGAAACTCAAGAAGTATCATTTTCCTGAAGCCAAGGAGGGGTCTGATTTGTAGACAGGAAAGACCTTGGTATGCTAGGTACCTGGTATTCTGAGTGAGATAAACCAGGTTGTGTCCAAGGAATAAAAGTAAAAGCTTAAAAAGAATAGACCAGCTGTAAGGCAAGGACTTAAGGAGAAACTACATTGCTTTAAAATAAATTAAGCAAACTGGGTCAAATGGGCTGTGGAAACCACAAATGCCATCTTCTTTTCCTTTTGGTAGGGGTGTGCTCTACTAGTATCCTTTCAAATAGTGCTTATTTTAGTTTTTCCTTTCCTGCTCAGAAAAATCTAAACATAGAAATAATCGTGAAGAAGTCATTACAGAATTCCTTATTTTGTGGCATATAGTTATGATGCAACTACAGAAACAATGCCAGATTTTGTTTGTTTGAAATATGAGGATATTTGAAGTTTATTGAATATGAAAATGTGATTCTTTAAGCTGTAAATAATAGAGTAATATCCCTTCTAATTTCCATATAAGCAATTTATATTCTTTTCTCCTTGGGCTCATTTTTTTCCTTTGGTAAGTGTATCTGTGCTGCCTTGAAAAATGATTAGAATTGACTTAATGTTAATCTATTCCTGTAATAGTTTTTATATCCAGCTTTTTTTTTTTCTGGAGCATGTACAAATCTTTTTTCCATATTTGTGAAGTTTTCCCTTTATATTAGAATTTTGCAATGGTTGTGTGCAATTCTGTTATACTCTAATAGAATTGTGCTTAATATTTGCTGTAATCTTAGTCTGCAATACTCAGTAAAAATACCATAATAAAATTAATAATCATAATAAACCTGAATGAGTTATGCAAAGTAGAAAGCTTGTTTCTACTGTAACTGAGAAGTGGACTTGGAATATTTTTGGCTTTTTAGAGAGTTGATAAATTGGTTTCAGACTCACAGCTTTCTGGGAAAAGCCAAGATCACCCAAAGGAGTTCAAATAGTACAAGGATTACATAATGCATGGCAGCTGGTGGGTTGAAGACAGTCTTCCACCCTAATTCTTACTGAGAAACCTATTTCATTTGGGTAATAAAGAATAATACGAAGTATTATTTTAATGAGATGAAGTGACAGTTACTCTACTATGAACCCATGCCACACAGTGCACAAATGCAGTGATCAAACATCATAGTGTAATTAAAAATAGAAGACTGGCACATGAACTTAAGACACCAAACTCTGCCTCTTGAGGCATGCACCGAAAATCATCTTAATTTGATAAAAATCTATTCTGCAGGAAAATCTTCCAGGGAATGTGATTATACCACCTCCCTCTTCACTCAATACCAATGTTTACAAATCTTCTGGTAAGGAAATACTTTTCTTATATTTAACCTAAATCCCTATGTTGAAGCTTAAGCCCACTACTTCCTCTCCTAGCCTTAGTGAAGATGCAATACAACTGCCACTTCCAGATGGCACTTAAAAAAAAGACCTAAGGCTTATTTACATATAATCAGCTCATACGTCTTCTTTCTCTGTCCTCATCAACAAGAGAAAAATATTGCAGTGCTTCTTCTTACATTACTTATTACCTCTAAGATCGCACATTACCATTTTATTATATTTTGTAGTTAAATCTTTCCACCTGTTCCTAATTATTTCCTTATGACCAATTTTCAGAAGTGAAATTCCTGGGTCAAAAGGTAAGCATATTTTAAATATTTTTATTCATATTGCCAACTTACTCTTGAGTAATAAGATTTTACTTATTTATGTATCTGGTGGCTGTGTGGGGAAAAAGAAAGAAGTCTCTTTCTTCTCACTCATGCCAATGTTGTATATTACCATTCTTTTTTCTTTGCTAGTTTGGCGGCTCATTCCTTTATTTTTCACTTCTTTTTTTTTTTATAATTGAAGTTGAATATTTTTCATGCATGTTGGTGATCTGTCTTTATGTATGTGTAAGCATTTTCTTTTCCATTCCTTTACCCATTGTTACATTGTTATTCCTCTTACATGTCATAGTTTTTCATAGGAAATAAATTATACTTTGGCACATGTTACAAATATATTTCTCCCACTTCATCAATTTTTTAAATTCCATTTGTCATATTTGGATGTTTTAAATTTTTGTGTGGTAAAATTTATTAATCAGCAATCTGTGAGTCTTGGTTAAGGAGCCTGTTTACACCCCAAGATTACAGACTCACTTATATTTTCTTTCTTAGTACTTTCATACTTTTAGTGAAGCAAGGCACTGAGAAGGTGACATTTGAGCAAAGATCTGAAGGAGACATGGAGAGAGCCATGTGAGGATTTTGGGGGAAATTGTTCAAAGCAAAGGGAACCACAAATATGAAAGCCTTGTAATTTGAACTTTTATGTGTTGTTTGCAGACCAGTAAGGAGGTCAGTGTGTGTGAGGCGGAGTGATTGGTGGGGCAGAGCAGTACAAAATGAAGTCAGGGAGAAAATATGTGTCACGATGTTTAGGCTTTCCAATGTCACTATGAATCCTTTACTCTGAGAGATACGGGGAACCATTGGAGGGTTTTAAGCAAATAAGTCATGTGACCTGACTTTCATCTTAACAGAACAATTCTATATTCCGTTATAGTCTAACTAGTTGCTTTCAAACTACATGTTGAATAATCAAATTTTTCCTAGAGATAGAAGCTTGCTTTTAAAAATGCAACTTGCATAAATTATTAAATTCTTATGTAGAGTTAATATATGTGTTGAATTTTCACTTTGCTTGCTTTAGTCTCCAGAATTTTTCTTGCATAAATACAGTATGGTTTAATTATTGTATCTTAAAATATATTTAAAATGTAGTTGGACAGATTCCTTGTTACTACTTTTTTATCAAAACTTTCCTGCCTCTTTTTGGGTATTTTTGTTTGTATATAACCTTTTTTTTTTTTCTAGACACAGGGTCTCACTCCGTTGCCTGCAATCAGACTATAGGTGCACGCCATTATGCCTGTCTTTTTCTTTCTTTCTTTCTTTCTTTCTTTCCTTCTTTCTTTCTTTCTTTCTTTCTTTCTTTCTTTCTTTCTTTCTTTCTTTCTTTCTTTCTATCTTTCTTTCTTCTTTCTTTCTTTCTTTCTTTCTTTCTTTCTTTCTTTCTTTCTTTCTTTCTTCATTTGCTCTATTACTTTTATTTATTTCTTATTTTTACTTTACTTTAAGTCCTGGGATATATATATATGTGCAGAACGTGCAGGTTTCTTACATAGGCATACATATGCCGTGGTGGTTTGCTGCACCCATCAACCCGTCATCTAGGTTTTAAGCCCCGCATGGATTAAGTATTTGTCCTAATGCTCTCCCTCCCCTTGCTCCCTACTCCCCAACAGGCCCCAGTGTGTGATGTTCCCCTCCCTGTGTCCATGTGTTCTCATTGTTCAACTCCCACTTATAAGTAAGAACATGTGGTGTTTGGTTTTCTGTTCCTGTGTTAGTTTGCTGAGAATGATATGCCTGGCTAATTTCTAAATTTTTTGTAGAGATGGGTTCTCACTATGTTGTACAGGCTGATCTTCAACTCCTGGCCTCAAGCAATCCTTCTACCTTGGCCTCCCAAAGTCATATAAATTGTAATACGATCAAATTTTAAAAATTCCATTCACTTTGGGGGTTTGGATAAATTATGCACATTATTTTGAACAGGAATTGAAATATATACTATACCATCTTCCAGTAATGAAGCCTTATTTATTTAGTAAAGTTTCACAATTTACCACATCTAAATTTTGCACATTTCTTCTTATTTTATAAGTTTATTCTGTGGTTTGAAGATACCTTAATATTTATCTTAACCTGATTTCAGCATTATAAAAAGTAAGTTGTCTTCCTAATAAGCCTTCCTACAAATGACTTGTGTTTTTCTATACAGGATACAGGACAGGCAACTCTTCATCTTATTTAACCCAGTTTGTTTGACTCAGCCAAACCCATCTGTCAGGCTACCCCGTTTTCACTATCTTCCAGTTCTCTTCTCCATACTTGAACCTAGTCTTTTGTTCTCATGGTTTTACCTTTAACTCCTGCTTTCAGAGTGAGCTGATTATCTTTTGCTTGCAATAGATGATTGGAGAAGCAAAGTTCTTTCAGGTCTAGAAAATAAAGTGACTCTATAAACTTCAGGTACCCACTTCTGCCCATTGATTTAGCAGGATCCTCTGGACAATGCCCACGGCAGTGCCCTTGATGGGCCTCTGGTATGTTTCTTGGTCTACTCTTCTCAAATCAGCTTCATCTGTTTCTGTCTTGGGATCTGCCAATAGCCTGATGGCCTTGGCCTTTCAAATCTCATTCAATCTCATTCTGGTTCTCCTCTTGCTCCCTATTCTCTTTTACTATCAAATGATTATATTATACATGTCTTCACATTGCCATCTGCAGTGTAGCTATTGCTTTCGTTTCTGGAGGCTACTGGATCACCTCATCTCTGCACTTTCTCTTCTGCTACTATATCTTTCTTGAATTTGTTGGTCTAAATAGGTACCTGGTGGAATGCACATGGCCCATATCATGTTTGACCATGTTTGTGAAGTCTTCTTGACCTGCCCAACAGGATGTGGTTCCTCCCTCATTCAGACACTTGTAAATCTCTTTATGTCTTCCCTGGTAGTCACGGTATTCCCTTCTGTATTATTCAGTAAGTGTTTAATGCCATGTGCCAGTTAATAGACTAGATACTCAGAATACAAAAATGAATAAGACAGAGTAGCTGCCATCAGTGATACCAGAGTGGGCAGAGAGGCATGTGAAAATAACTGTTAGTATTATATGGAAATAAACATGGCTCAGGGGCGGTAATCATAAAGCAATTATAGATTATTTCCCAGAGCCTCTTACAATGAATTCTATAGGGCTATTCCTTCCCCTTTCCCTGGATGAAAACTTAGGCAGGAGCTGTGACTTTAAAAATTTGTTCTTAGGGCACAAAACTCTCTCTCTCAATTTAATAATTAGAATGTCCTGTCCCATGGGATGTCACAAGGTCAGTCTTGCTGTCCAGTTGAGGCATCTCCCATAGGTGCTCAGACACATTTCAGGTTGGAAGCCTGAGCCCAAAGGATGGAGAGTAGTTGGCTTCTTCTACTCTGCCAAGCACATCTACCTTTCCACATGCTCCTATTAGTGAAATTTTCTTTTCCCTTCAGGGTTAGAGCTGATGGAGACAAGGGTAGGAGGAGAGATAGGTTGGGGCAAGCTGTATCTTACATGCCTGGTAGTATTGTGGGTTGGGTGGTGCTGTTCTCTGGTCCTGATGTGTGTTTAATCTGGACGTGTTCTCTTACAGGTGCTCTCACGAGTTCTTTGAGACGTCCACCACCTCTGGCTTCCCAACTTTCCCAGCATCCCCTCCCTTGCCCCAACCAATTTCTGATGATTTCTATTTCTATTTGGGCTGATTATTTCCTGCTACCTCAGCCCTAGGAATCTGGTGACAGCTGCCAGTTTATCTCTGGTGAGGTCTATTCCTACTTCAGGTAGTTTTCTGGATCAGGATGTAAGATGACCAGAAACAACAGCTTTTTCACTTATTAGGCCATATCTGGCCCAGTGGAAACTGTCATGTGTTCATCACCGACATGGCCCTCTCCTTATCTCCATCTAAATTCTTTGTCTACATACTGATCCCAATTCAGCAACAACTCTCTTTCCTTCTTCCACAAGGGAATCTGTCAGCCTAGGTTTTGCATTTTAGGTTTTCCAAGCTAGAATCAAGGCACCAGTCCACAGTGTCCTCCAAACAGCCAAGGACACATATTAAATCCTCGTGGTTGTTCCTTAAAAACCCCCTCTTTTGACTTGAGGCAGAGAGTGAGGACCACATTGCGCTCCAATAGCTGTCTCCAAAAATCCTCCTCAATCTCCACCCGCTGCCTTTTCTCACCTTTTCCTAACTTTTTAAAGGAGGGCTACTATCTCAGAAGCTGCAAAATTAATTTTCTGCCATGGGATATTTTTCAAATCTCATTTTGAAATGTAGCATCTATTAGTTTCAGGCCTCAGCCAAAACAGAGAGAAGATCTTATGTTAATATCCAGTTATAGTGTCACTGTTAAGAACACTAATTAAGGAACTGTTAAGGAATGTTGATTCTCTGGCTCCTCTTATTCAATAAGAAGATACCCCACCACTTTCCATGGTGGGGAGATGACTTTGGCTACTTTTGCCAGGAAGAGGTAATACATCTTTTCCCATGGTTACCCAAGAAGCTCTGGCAGTATCAACTCTAGTGAAACTGGAGACAGCCCGTATCCTTTGACTACATCCATGTACTAGTGGGTCATATTACTCTGCCCAAACAGGTTCTAGACTCATTCTTTCCCTCTTGGACATACCTGTGCTTAAAATCCCCTGGGGGAGAGTCTCTTCCATCACAGCACTGGGATATTAAACCATAATGGGACGTAGGAAGCCCCACTGTGCACTTTAATTTAGTTGATGCTAGACAGCTCTTTCTAAAAGTAATGCATTTGGCTCTGATCTTTGTACTTAGACTCTTGGCCTTCTATCCTGAATGTAAAGTATTTTACATTCTGACTTCTATGACTTCCACCCTAAATGGAAGAAATGTTATGTAACTCCCCAAAACTAACCATGCATATTGGCAAAGTGTGGTTTAACTTTTGGTGGGTAAGAAAAATTTTTTTTTTCTGCACAACAATTTAGTATCTCTCACAATGGTTTGAAATAAACAGAAATTTTGTTCATTTTTTTTTTTTTTAGTCATAAGTGCTCTTTGAGGAATATATTAAGGGCTAAACTTAATTCAGCACAGTAAAGTGTTGAACTGAATCAGCATGTTAAGCACAGTAATGGGAACATCAGTTCTGTAACCAATGAACAAAATGGTAAAACACATGTCAGTTTTGGAGTTTAGCTTGAACAAAAAACATGTGGTACAGGAAAACACATCAGGTGGTTGTCCCATAGTGGACTCAATAGAAAAAGAGCACGGAGTACATAATGGACATTGTCAAGTGTTGTTAAACTAGTTTGATTTGAGATTTTAAGGACCCTCAAGTTCCATGTTAAAAAGTTTTGACTTATTCTCATGGTTAAAGGGGATCTAAGTCTTGGGCAAATTTATGAGAGAAGGTGAAAGTCTCTAAGAGCAGAGGGATGCACAAGAATGTTATCTTAAGCACAGAGGACCAGAAGTGTTGAATAACTTTGGTCTGGACAATGGGACAAGGAAGAGATTTTAGTAATATTTCTTGTTAGCAGCCTCTGTAGCATATCCTTAGGGTTGCAAATGGGCTTACAAACCTTCCTTTTAAAATTTATCCTGAGTGGTTGGTGAGCATATTAATAATTGTTATCATCTATTAAATTCTATTGTCACATAAATAATTACCAATCCTCACAACAATGCTGCAAGCCAGTCTCATATCTCCTTTACACATTAGGACACAGTTGCTCAGAGAAGTTAAGAAACATGTCCAAGTTTCCAAAAGCATGACTGCAACCTGATATGGTCTAATGATCTTTTTGGGTAGAGTGTAATGACCAGTTTTGTCCTTGCTACACCCAATACAGAAGTCCCTGAAACCACTGGAAACAGGTTAAACAGTCTGTTCCTTAGACTTCTGAGTAAAGGTGTGGTCAGGGAAGTGAGCTTGCCTTATTATCTGATTTACCCTTAAGCCATATAAAAATACACACTGGAAATTTACACATCTATACACAGATTGTTTCTCATGGTGGTGAAAACTGTGCAACTTTGTCAGTAGTCAGGGAGGCTAATGAAAGAGACCCAATGGGGAAACCCATCTTGGGATCAAAACATGATCTCTGGTCACATTCTCTAGTTTTCTGCAAGTTGGTGGTAGAAAGTACCCTCGTGGTGTACCCTTGTGGATGGAGTCAGAGCAGTGAAAGAACCTTTGGTTTTCCACCACCCTGTGAAAATCATAGCAAATACTGTTTCGTGAATTTTTCTATCTACCCTTTTCCCTAACAGATGACGAACTGTATGTAGAAACTACACCATACTCATCTTTTTTTTCTTTTTTCTTTTTTTTTTTTTTTTGCCAAGGACTGTGCCATAAAAACTGGCACAGAAAAAGGGAGGAAAACAAACTCAAGAATATACTAACCTTATCTGGAACCACAATCAGATAGCCACTACTTTTGATATGTCTGATACTCTCTCCCACAACTACTTTACAGTGGGGTGAAAACTATTTGTAATCCATTACTAATGGGTTCTTATGCTTCTCCTAGACTTATAACTCCCATGGTCTTGTATATAATATCTATACTTTGTTGTATTTTATTTTTCTGCACATTTTTCTTTCATCTTCCCCCTTTTAGATCTCATTTTAAAAAGAATGATTTTTAAAACTCTCTTCTCTATTTTTTTTTAAAAAGTATTATCTTAAGACACCCACACACTATTTCTTACCACATTTCATGAGTTGTTCTGGTAGAAATTATACTTGCTGGGAATGTATTGGCCTTCCCTGCTGGGATGATGAAGTAGTTTTGCACTGACTGTCATCAGAGACAAAGGTGAAAGGTTATTCCTGTCCCTCTTTCCCGCAAAACCTTGAGGAGATAAGAATTAAGACTTAAAGAATGTTAAAGTATTTTGGTGTGATAAGTGTGGATGCAAGGCATTTAAAAATTAGATATGGCATGGAGTTATTAATCAAAGAAAACCAGTTCTTAGAGAAATAGGGATAAAGTAAGTACTAGGGTATATATTTTATTGTAAGGTACATTAATTGCTTTCAACTATGTCAAAGCTATAAATACATTTTAAAAATCAGTTAGAATCTAAGTTTAGAAACAGATACACATTTTCTTCTGTCAAGGTAATGGAATAAGGCTATAGAATGAATAACATCAAAATATGTACAAATTCAGTGGCTCACATAAATCATTTTTTGATCTATGTGCTTGGTTACAAGACATTCTCCATTTTGGAAGATTGTTGCAATCTTCTCTGTGGGTATGGGGTGGATATTTTTCTTGCACAATAATTCAATATCTCTCACAATAGTTTGAAATAAATGGAAACTGTGTTGACATTTTCTTCAGGTAGATGTAAAATTGTTTCTACTCAACATTGCTAGCTTCTGTAAGGGAGATTTCCTTGGAAATTCTTATCGGAGAGGGCTCCCTTCTGCATTCACAAATAATATCCTCTTCCTCAGGAGCACCTTCAGAAGCACAGCTTAGCCCCCAAACACCAGGGATCATCTGAAAGTTCAGCTCAGTCAACCTTAGTAAGGTCAGTCAATTACCGGAGGAGTTTAGGGGAAGGTGGGAGTGGGACTTGCAATTTGACCATAGCCCTAGAAAGTATGACTCAGTTTCTAGTGGCAACAAGCTCCAGGCTCCTCTGTGGGGCAGCTTCATTATTAAATGTTAAAATAAAAGTGCTTTTCTGTGAAGGAGGGCATATTTTCCTTCCCAAATTCTAATTTAATATTCATCTTCAGAGCTCACAGCTTAGCAGAAAATTCAGTCTGAAGATTCTGCACACTTAAGCAGGTAGTATGTGATTAAGATGATGCCTTGCTTGCAAGACTTTTAAATCCAGTCCTCTTCCTTGCCACATACATGGTTTATGAATCTTGGTGATTGGATCTGTGTATTTCCTCTATGTTAATACCACCCACTATTTTCAGTGTTTTCTGTGGATTCACCCTGCAGGGGTGGGAACTGAGAGGGTGAAGCATGTTAATGGTCTGAAGTTCCCTAGGGCTATAGGGTGATGATGTTAAGATCTTTTCACACCAGCATGGTCTCAGTGTGATGGGGACGCACCTCCTGAGAGGCTGTGTGATGGAAATTCAGATCTATGGGTGACTGCACAACAGCATGTGCAGAAAAGGAAGTATGGAAATAATAACTTCAGGGAAGAAGAAAGAGCAAACCAAGGAATAGAAATTTGAACCAAAGAACCAAAACTGAATAGAAAGGGTAATGAAATAGGGATGGGTCTCAGAGGTTGGGGACCTCTATTACGGTTTCAGTTCTATTAATGAATGCCGTGTGACTTAGGGCAAGGCACTTAACTTACGTGAGTCTCAGTTTCCCCCCCTGGTTATATACTGGCTACATGATTCATGAAGTATTTTATGATTCTAACCTCCTAGTGTTCTATTTTCTCTATGCTCATATTTTGATTTTCAATGTGTTGATAGATTTTATTGTAGCAAAACACAAATGTGTCTCAATTCTTTATGACATATTGTAATGATGTAGCAAGAATGTTAAAAAGTGTCCAAAAAAGACATAAAATTCACAATATTTCTCTACCTTAAAAACAAACAATATGCACATGAGTTTCCAACCTACCAAATTGGAGAAACCAGAGGAAATGTAGACTGCAAACTTCACCGAAGAGTCTTTTCTGAGCAAATCATCTAAGCCAGTTTGAAAATGTCTTCCAAAAATTCAGACTATATTGTTTTAATACTTGCTATATATTTTCAACGTTTACTTCATGAATATTCTAATGCAAGTAAGATGCTTTCCTTTGATTACTAAAAATACTAGGAAGACATTAATAGCATAATCCAAAACTTCTGCAAAAATCCCATTTCTATTACATGCTGAGCCATAATTTGGAAAATAGTAAAACACATACAAATGTGAATAAGTCCAATGGAATAACCCAAGAGTTTCATGTTAATAAAACAGAAAAATCAATTCATCTAGACAGGGTATAAACTAAAGATACCCACTACATTCCATGCAGATACTCCTTTACAGGGATTTTGAGCTTTTCCTAATTAATGAAACAGTATGCACTAGTGGGCAGACCAAGCATTAGATTGGAAGTCAGGGGAATTGGGGCTGTATTTAGAATTTTTCATTCCTTATTCCATAACTTTCAGTACTCTCAGCCCTTGTGTCTCAGTTTCTACTTCTGTTAAAATGAGGATAATGATACTCACCTGACCGATGTGAGATTAAATTATGAACTCTTAAAGAATTAAACCCTATGCATTTCTAGAAAAAATACATGATTATTACTATTTCACTGAGACTGAGGCTTTTGGCAAAAGTATCATCCATAAGTATGTATAAATCTTTTTTTTTTTTTTTCCCCAAGATAGAGTCTTGCTCTGTCACCCAGGCTGGAGTGCAGTGACAGGATCTCGGCTCACTGCAAGCTCCGCCTCCTGGGTTCATGCCATTCTCCTACCTCAGCCTCCCGTAGCTGGGATTACAGGCACCCACCTCCATGCCCGGCTAATTTTTTGTATTTTTAGTAGAGATGGAGTTTCACCGTGTTAGCCAGGATGGTCTGGATCTCCTGACCTTGTGATCCACCTGCCTCGGCCTCCTGAAGTTCTGAGATTACAGGCATGAGCCACCATGCCCGGCCTAGTGTGTATAAGTCTTATAAGTTCCTTGGAGTCCTTGAAAATTTCCAGGTATATCTATGATCTTATAGTGAGTGGACCCACCCTTAATGCCCTCAGCTCATCCAGCTGACCCAGGCCTTTTAATCTTAGAGAGAGGCTGAATGCCAGGTGAAAAATCAGGGGTTCTCAATTCCTTAAGACAAACTCAGAAACAAAAAGTCTTGAAGGGGGACGTGAGAGTGTTATTCAGAATGTGATCCTCAGCTACTGTGGTATAAGCTTCCTTCTCAAAGAACAAATGTAAAACAGTGTGATGATTTTTGTGCAACACAGGACTCCTCAGGATGGTGAGTCCATTGGCCCACTCTGCTAAGGTGATCCCTCTGTTACAGTGCAGAACCACATCTTTACCTTGAAGGCAGTCCAGTCTTCCTTTATGGAGTAGTAGAGTCAGAAGCTAAGGCCCAGTTCCTTCTGGCTGTGCTCAACTTGCTTCTAATTCATGGCTCCCTGACAAAATGACAGACAGATCCAATGGCTCTAAGCCTGGTGGGCAATGGTGGCTTTGGAGGTGAGAGGAGGGCTTTTCAATGGGAATGTCAGTGAAGGGAGGACATGCGAGAGGGATTTCTGTGCATGTTCTCAGCTTTCATATATACTATGAAGTCCATGAAAATTATGGGCATTGTAGTATATTTACACTACGGTATAGAATTACGACAACATTCTCACTTATGCAACATCCCATATCCTATTTGAAAGTGTAAATATGTTTTTTTTCCCACCCATTATAAGTAGGGCCTTTTGGGTAAGTATGAGCTCCTTTAACTGTGAGCTAATAATTTCCACTGTCATGGCCTTGAGATTGGAGGTTTATGAAAGTTTCTTTTAACTCATCAAATTTCTCTTGTATGGAGGAGGACAAGTAACTGCATGAATTGATCTTCATAGGGCACATGGTTTTTCTTGTGGGCATGTGAAATTCACTTACAACCCCTTAGAACACTTAAATAAGATCAAATGCCTATAGCCAGCCCTACCTGATTTTTTTTTTTTTTACACCATGGAGAATTTGGCTTCTTGTTAATTGCATCTGCAGTCTCAAAGCTCTTTATGGAATCTTTCATAAGTGATATTAATAGTAATGGTGGTCTTTTATTAATAATGCATAATAACAATAGCTGGCGTTAAAACAATATTAGTTAAGCGATTAGAGAAATGGCTAGAGTTGCGGTTAGAAAATAGGCCTGTAGACATCAATACTGCTAAAGTCATTTATCATTTCTCTCATAAAACAGAAAGAAGTATAATGGCCGACTAAGCTCTTAATAAAATTCTGCCACAATTGCATAACTGCAGACTGACGTTTTCATTTGTGGGAGCATCCTTGGTGGTATTGTGTGATGGGGCATCCCCAGGAGAAAGAATAGAAAACATAGGATTATTTGCATAATTTCCCTATACTCCCTGTGATTTTCTTTCATTCTTCCCCATCTGTAGTTACCATCCATAGCAGAAATGCAAGCAGAGTACCTGGTTTCTAGTCCTGGTTCTGTTACACAATGGCAGGTGATTACATGACAACATCCCTGAGGCTCAGTTTCTTTCATCTGTGAAATGGGAAGGATTATATCTATTTGATAAATATTTTATTGAGATTGCAAGGTAAAAGTGCACCTAATCATGCTTTGTAACATGCTCTAAAAGAGGTATAAGCATTTTTCTAATAATTCTCAGCCAAGCCCTGAAGCCAATGCACTTCTTTTCCAGGCTCATACCTCTGTTTCCAGCTTCTACTCTCCTATCTCTTCCTACAGTATTTCACAGGCCCTGAGTGCTCAAGTTGTCTTTTTAGGCACAAGAAATCCTCCCATACACACACAAAATTAGGACTACCCTCTCCCCAACCACTACTCTTAGCTCACTCTTTCTATCTTCCAAAGGATAACTGAAGATAAACATGATGAACAAATTCATCATAAAATGCTGAATGTTGATAGCAGGGTCATTTTACCTCTTCTTTTTTTCTCTCTCTTTCTCTTCTGTCTCTCCTTTCCTTTCTTCTCTTCTTTCTAAGAGGGTGTGCCACACTGAAATGGATGTGAGGTAATGTATACAACGAAAAGTACAGATAAAAGTACAAATGTGTTAAAACTGTAATATGATTAAAACAAGGTAGGATGTCACTATTCAAATAACACAGGATGGATGGAGAAATTATAGAAGAAAATCTAAGCTAGGGAAGCAACTGAAATTCATGACATTTCAAAATATTGAGCTTCCAGGAAGACAAGATGAAAAGGGAAACAGTAAAAAGCGTATTCAGGATAGACAAATTTTCTCTAATGTAATTGTTAGAAAAAATTTTCATATGCACATTCTTGGTGCATAAATTAGAAGGCAGGTAATACCATCCATGCAGTCTTTTTTTAAAAGTAGGGATAGCCTTCATATGGGTTTGTTAAAAAATTGTTAGCACTGATAAAATACAAGCTGACATCACGTTTACAGGGACTCCTAGGTAATTTGCATTTTTAAAGTGAGCTCTGATCTTAATCCTGAGATGACTTACAAAATCAGCATCTGTGGTGTTAGGACATGGAGGCTGATTTTGTAAGCAGAGATCTTCATCATCATAATAATTTTATGCACTTGCTGTGGCTTTGCACATGTATTTTCTCATCGTGAATGGATTCAGTGTGCCTTCCATGAGTTTTATGTCTCTGTCTGGTTTTTGGAATGGGGACTCAGTAAATGGAGGTAGAGCCTTGGAAAGAATAGTCCAGAAATCATTTAAACCAAGCTGTAGCTATCATTTTCATGTCCCTTTGAAGGAGAAAGCCTCAGAATTATTTCACATATAGCCTCTCAAAAATATTTTAAAGTAAGCTTTATAAATCATTACATGGCTCTTTCCTAGCCCTGGTCCCAAAGGTCTGGTAAGCTTTAAGTCCCTAGTGACACCTGCTGGGCAGACCTCGGCTCACTGCTGCAGGCTTTCCATCAGCCTACCTCTTCCTTAGCATGCAAAGCTGCAGGCCACTAGGTAAGGGGCTGGCTGCCGCTTCCACAGCTTGCAGCCCGTCTGCTCATTGCTCATGCAGGTGACCTCTGTCGGCAGAATCGTGTGCCAGAGTCTCCCCAGTGCTCTCTCGGGGAAATGATTTCCAACCTGTCCAGGCCCCAAGAAACAAACAGGGATCTATCAAAGTTGAGAGAGAGAGAGAGAGAGAGAGAGAGAGAGAGAGAGAGAGAGAGAATCCACCTCTATCCACCCCCAACCCCAGCCCCAATTTACTAAGCTGCTTCTTTGTCTGAAAACTCGGAGGTGAAAGATGCTACTTGAGCCGTATGTTTTGTTCAAGCACAAACCAAATTATGCTATACTTGCTTATATCTGAACATATTGGTTTATCTTACATAGAGTTTAATTGATGCAAACTTGAACTTCAGTATGTTAGATTTTCAGGGAAAACACCATCCCTGTGATTTAGATTGCTATGTTTTTCTTTGAACAAAGCAAAGAGAAGCAAGGCAATTACACCCCTGCTTCGGTTTATTTCCTTCATATTCACCAACCATTACAAAAATAGTGTTTAACCTCTTGTAGTATGACCTCTTGTGTCCTCTACTGTCCAATTGCACAATTTCTTTCTGAGCCAACATCTGCATCCTTGGACAGAGCAACTTGTGTGCAAAGTCCATGTTAGCTGATCAAGCATGGCTTTGTTTGCATTTATTCACTGCTCATCCAGCACTGCGTAAGTGGTTTTGCATATTAACTAAGTGCACAGTAACCTTCCTTTACCTCCTTAGAGCTCCACCCCCCTCCCACCCGGCCCAGGGAAATCAACACTGTTACTCGCTGAGGAAGCTGCCAAGGGGTTGCCATGGCAACTGTTCTGCTTTCAGCAGCTACTTTTCTGGTTTGAAGGGGGGAAGGAAAAAAAAACTGGGGAGAACTAGGCGGCTTTCTGATCAGAGTTCAGATAAAAAGGGTCACAGTAATTTGTGGGCACTGACTAAAATAACCCAATGGATTTGAGAGTTACCGCAAAAGAAGCAAACAGACAAACTAAAGAGGTAAGTCTAGTGGAAGGCAAATAATTAAATTATTCGGTAGTGGTCTTAAGCTGAAGCATTTCAACTCTATATCAGTCCAGCTCATCTAAGATGCTATTTTATGAGTCTTTTCATTTTTGTCCAGAGCCAAACACAGACGATGAGTTTTATGGGATTATAAACGGCAGACAAGCGAGGTAACGGGGTAAAACAGCAGCAGAGTGGGACTCTCTAACATCTGAAAGTCATTTTCCAAAACTTCATTCAGCACAGGAACAATGCGGCATTCAGGCAGAATGAGCTGAAAATGTGGGGTGCTCCAGGTCAAATCAGCAACTTCTGCACTCCTCTCAACAGGGTGGGGAGTGGTTTGCCAAGGTAGGGCAGGAAACAGTCTGATTTCAAAGGAAGGGCTAGGATTAGGCAGAAAACCGTGAAGAGTCAAGAAATGGAAGCCTCCGCAGCCTAGACTGGTGGGTTTCAGCGGCATACAGAGAGCTGTGCTAAAAGCCGCTCTAGACAACTTGTTGGTGGGATTTTGGCAGCTACCCAGAAAAGAGCTGAACAGTGATCCTTGGCTGAAAACTGGCAGGGTGGCGGCAGGGCCGGTCATGCAGCACTAGGGGAGTAGAGCCTCACCCTTCCTGCCTCTGTTCTGTCAGTCTCCCCAGTCAGCACCTGCTCCCCACTGGTCAACAAGCTTCCTGGCACTCCTCTGCATTCAAGCTTCTCTTGCATTATTTATTCACTTTAAGGAATAGCAGTGATGAAAACGTAGTAGCCGAACCATCCTCATCTAAGCTACTATTTTCTGAATATTTATAGCTTTATTTAGAACCTAACAACAGCTACAACACCCAGATAAACTTAAAGGAATTTTTATATATTTTTTCTATTTTTTTTAAGACTAGTCAAGTGCAGTAGTGAGGAAGGGGGAAAGGGTAGAACAAAGAGTTCGATCTGTAATTGACTGCGAACAATCAATTTTGAGATAACTCACTACCTTTGGTCCAGCCAGTTAAAAGGAATTTTAAGTTAGAGAAGCCATACAAGTACAGACATGGAATGGGATGGTAACTAAATGAGAATGTCATGTCGTTCTGGTGACATCGTCGTTAATGTGTGGTGACACGGTTATTAATACTCTCAGTGGAGTAGTAAGGGAAGCTCTAAGCTCTCAGAGGTTAACACCTCTTTAAGGACATGCAATAGTGGAACAAGGAATCTTGAGTTTGGAGCAGAGAGAGCTTAGCTACATGCAGGCAGCAACTTGTTTCTTACCTGAAATACAGCCATTTCGGCCCAACTCCATATTATGGCAGAGTTGACAGATTTATAGTCAACATTCTGTATTCTTTTGTCATTTCCATCATTTTATTTGTCTTTGACAAGTAGAGAAATTTTGAGGTAGAAAGTAATAGGTAATAAGGGAAGGGAAAAAATGTAAATAAATTCCCCAAACAGGAAATGACCAAGGCAAATATACTCTACAGCAGGATTCAAAATTTTACATTCTATATAGAATGATTTTGACAGATGACAATAGACAGTGAAACAGAAGTTTAAAGAGAGAAAATAAAATAAGGCCAAAGACCCAAAGCATTTTATTTAGGCAAAGTTGTGTGAAGTCCCAGAAACTAAACTGGGAAAGGAAGAGATATATCATTAAAGGACAGCCACCTTATATCGGAGCCCTCATAAGTTAAAACAAAATCCTAAGAGTTAAAAACTTGAGTGGGCTCTCTTGTGTATCCTTGATGTAGCTGGAGGCCCTATATTATATAACAGTAACAGGATACAGGATGACAGTTCCTCACAGACTACAGTAAATGTGATTAAATTATCTCATCAGCTTCATACTCCTGAGTATTTGTACAATGCCAGAAAACCATCCATTAATCTGACCTGTCTGCTAGACCCCCAGACAGCATGGGCTAGAGGTATTAATATTCAAAGAAATTTCCCTCTCAAATGGCCAATTGGAGGGATTCCAAGTTTAGTCTCTGCAGCCGTTGACACCACGAATGAGACACGGAGAAATAATAAGGGGGAAAGAATAAAAGCTAGAATAAAATTCAGAAATTTGCTTGAACTCAGCCACAGATTCTTTTTCATTCCTTTCCACTGACCTGATCTAATTCCAGCAGCTATTATCCCTGTGAAACACTGCCACAGCTGAATTTATTTTTATTTTGTCTGCTCAAAGGCAATGCAAAGCGAATTTGAGAGCACATCACCTTCAGGGAAAAGACTGCCGCATATTACTCACTACCTCCCTCCACCCCTCTGCGTGAAAAGGTTAATTTGAATAAGGCTGCTGCTTCCACAAATAGAGCAGTAACCAGCACACAGAGGAACCGCCAATGAGACTGTATTTCAATGATGTCATACTTATACCTGCCTCTTATTATTTGCTGAGTAGTGACAATGTGTTCCGTGAATCTCACGTATTATTGGTTAAGAGCCCTGTCATTCTGAGTACTTCTGGAGAGTTTTAGGCATTGCAGTTTCTTTACAAGCCCAGAATTTTTTCAGCTTCTGCACTTCAACAAACTGTTGGAGAAGGCAGAGTATTTTAAACGTTGTTGTCCTGAAGACAAATATAAAAACCTTTATAATTTATACCTGATTTACATGCCATTGGATGCTAGCTCCGTTTGCACAGCAAACGCAACATAGGAAAAGTCTGTTTTTTGTTAAAATAAATGAACAAACAAACAGTTGGACAGAACTTTCACTGAAGTGTTTCTAGAAAGAGTATGCTTAGCTGAATATTGTCCCACTGGCCTAACTGAAAACAAACTTATTCCACTTATTCTACAACAACAATTTTTTGCCCCAGTGAGCAGAGCTTTCTTAAAAAGAACTAGATCTAAAATTTACCAGTTTGTAGGATACAGGGCATTGGAGGAGGGAAAACCTACCTGGTTTATTTTTGTCCTAAGTGGGTTTTATTTTTAAATCAGTTAGGGTTTTGTGCCATTAAATGTGTGCTTCAGGTCACTCAGATTCCTGGGCTTTTCTGAGGAAATGCCTATAAATAGGTTTGAAAACTACACTACCTTATAATGAAGCTGACAGTTAGATAAATCAGTTGTGCATGAGTTAGGAATTATTCAACTAACTGAAACATTCAAATAAATGTTCTGGTCAGCATGAGATGCAAGTGTGATTGGGAGGCCAGGAAGAAGTGTTGGTAGTGATCTTAAGCTGAGGCTCAAAAGTCTCATCATCTGTGGTGGCAAGTGAGGCCCCAAGCATGGCTCTCTGGGCAAAGTCACATCCTCAGAGATATAGACAACAAGGTCAGTCTGTTCATTGTCAGTTGGCGAAGCAGAACATATATGGCGAAGGTTAATCCAGTCCACAGGCAGGGCTGTATATTAAATGCTCCAGTGAGAAGGGCAGGGCATTAAAGGAGCAACTGGATTTTAACCGGCAGAAAAAGACTAGAAAGTGTTCATGTGTAGGAGAATGAGATGAGAAAGGATGACTATATATGGAATAGACCTCCCTGACTGGATATACATATATGTATCTACACCTTAGTGAGAGAAATCTGGAAAAGCAGGCACACAAATCAGCAAAGATGATGTAAATTAGGAAGAGGTAGAAAGCACCAGATATTTTGGGCACCCATACCTCAAATTCAGTAGCTAATATCAACTATTTTTGAAATCAAAATGTCTTCTCAGCTGTGTATCAGAACTTATTGTTTGCAGAGTCTGATCACAGGTTAGCTAGATGTTGTAAAATTTGATTATTTTATAGTTTAAATAAATGCTTTACAATATTATTGTAGACATTGGACATTCAACGAGATGCTCACTGTGTTAAGAGCATGGGAAATGAGACCAAAGTTAAGTTTAATTGCAGTAAAAAGTAGAGAATAGACTACCATTCTATTAAAGTTAGAAGGACCTAGAGCTGTATCCACTGTACTTGAACTTCCTGGTATTTCTACCAACAAAGTGCATGTGAATTTTGATTCAAGAGCTCTCTCTCTAGTAACAGCATGGTGTTGAGTACAAGGGCCTTTGGTGTCAGACAGACCTGAGTTCAAATCCCAACTCCAACCATTAGTAGCTTTGCAACCTTGATCATTATAATTAATCTATCTAAACTTCAGTTCTCTTGAAGGATAATGATGATACCCAGGTATGGGGTGGGAAGATTGTGAGAATGAGACTGAATAAAGTATATATGTTTTATTAGCATAGTGCCTATCTCAGTAAATGAAAGGGTTTCTTTTTCTTTTTTTTTTTTTGTATGTTTGTGGTTTTAACTTTGTTATGTCCATAAGGTCCTTCCAGAATCTACATGACCTGTCTCCTTACTGATCATTTCTTGTCACTCCTTTTCTCCTATACTCTATCCAGGCCATACTAACCTTCTTGCAACTTCCCAAATAAGCCTAGTATGTTTTGGCTGGAGGACTTTACTTTGCAGCTCCCCTTGCCTGGAATGCTTCCCCTCCCAAGTGTACCTTCGTCACTTTCTTCAGGTCTCAGTTCAAATATTAACAAGAGAAATCTGACTTAACACCCTGGCTGAAATGGCTTCCCTATGACTCTCTTTCCCATAACACCATGTTATGCTTTTCCATTGCCACTAGACATGATTTTATGTTGTATTTTTAATTTGTTTATTATCTGTTTTGCTCTCTTGAGCATGTCAGGTCCACATGAGTAGCATCTTTGTTTGCTTCTGAGCCCAGAGCCTAGAAAAGTGCTTGGACATAGCAGATTCCTAAAAATCATTGTTAATGAGCATTGATGAAGACAGCAATAGGAACTCTTAAGTTCTTTAGGACAGGGGTACAACAGGCACATAGGTGCAATGGCCAGAAAGGGGCTCTGAACACCCCTGCCTCATACCAAAGCTGAGAATGTATATGAGCTTTTCTTATTGAGCCAAGCAGAAATATTTCAATTTACCCATCACATTATACGAATGAGATGTTAAGACAATGAGAATACACAGTTTTAGTATTCTTTACCCAAAGGGTGCCAGTGCTCTTTAGGGTAGATGAGGTGTGGGAAGCTGGGCCAGAAGAGATTCCAGGGAAAATCCTGGGTGAAGATTTTTAGCTGGTGTACCCTTTCTGAGGTCTACTATTTTTTCCCCCTTCAAACTCCCTCAAAACCTGTTCATATTGGCTGTGATCCTCACGAATTTTTGGGTACAATCGAGGGACTGAAAAAATGAGAATTGGAGATCAGATTAGTAAATGCAGGATATAATAGTAAATTCAAGAATCCCAGACATTCTCAACATTACACACACCTACACACATATTAATATGCATATGTATGAAATGAACTGACGGAAGTGTCACAGAATATTTTAAGATCTTTCTGTTCTCTTTCTCAGTCCATCATAATGATAAAATAGATTCTCTTCTGGATTTCTATTTCCCAGTAACTGAAGGACTATATAAGATGGCATCCAGCTTACGTAAGCATTATCCCTGCTGACATTCCAAACGAGCAGTTCAAATGCCACCTAATCATCCAGTTATAGCTTGGATTTTGGCAGTCTTTTATAAAACACTGCATTTGAAGGAGCATCTGCCTTTTGTATATTGGCCATGTCAGCACCTGTGGCTGCTTCTTTTTCTAGAAACTTCTGAACATGGTAAACGTAATATGAAATAAAATTAGTGCTAACCACCAGAATGCTCTTAAAAGTGTATAGAGTCATGATTGAAATTCTGAATGTACAGCCCATTTTTAAAGAAAATTGGCTATCTCCTCTCACCTCTTACTCCTCCACTACCCTCAATGTTAGTTGTCTTAGATTAGTGCTTCTTAAACTTTAAAGTATCTACAATCACTAAGCCGTCAAAGGGACCTTATTAAAATAATACATATTTTTCCAGAATGCCGGGAGTAGGGCATGAGATTTGGCATTGCCAAAAACTTCTAGGTGAAGCCATGTGCTGGTCTGTGAACCACACTTTGAGTAAGTAGCAGGAGTTTATTTTTATTTTTATTTGTATGACTTTATTGGGTACAAGGCAATTTTGTTACATGCACCGATTGTGTAGTAGGGAAGTCAGGGCTTTTAGGCACCCATCATCCAAATCATGTACATCGGACCCATTAAGTGAAGCACTGGTTTAGATGACATAATGTCACATGTTTGGTTTTCTAATCCCCCAAATTAATAAGAGAATTTTTAAGGAGGTCATTTACTATTTTTTTTTAGGCCAGGCTGGAGTGCGGTGGTGCGATCTCGGCTCACTGCAACCTCTGCCCCCTGGGTTCAAGTGATACTCCTGTCTCAGTCTCCTGAGTAGCTGGGATTACAGGCACGCGCCACCATGCCTGGCTAATTTTTGTATTTTTAATAGAGATGGGGTTTCACCATGTTGACCACCATGGTCTTGATCTGCTGACCTTGTGATCCACCCGCCTCGGCCTCCCAAAGTGATGAGATTACAGGCGTGAACCACTGTGCCTGGCCTCTTCCACATGCATTCTCTTGTAACTGTGTTAAGAGATTTTGTTCTGAGGTATATTCACATCCAATTGGTAACCAAGCCATTTTGAGTCTAAGAAATATTTCTCTCTTCTCCATCCCCACAGGCGCTGCCTCAGCTGAGGCCTTCCTCATTTTTCCCCTGCAAAGCAGTAATAACCTCCGATTTATCTCCCAAGCCCCAGCTGCACCTCCCTCCAATCCATCATCTCATATTTTATCTCCTTATTTTTCTTTCAAAAATTGTTTTGATGAGCTCCTTTCCTGATTAAAGGCCCCTGCTGGCTCCCCTTGCTTAAAATAGAGGTTGGCATAGGCTCTGTCCCCTGACAAAATTGGGCTGGAATACAAACTCCTTCAATTTCCTTTTATGTAACATTGGGCAACTTGCTTAACTTCAGAGAGGCACACTTTCCTTATCTGCAAAATGGAGATACTACTGCTTATCTGGTAGTGTTGTCATGATTTAGATGGAGGACTGTAGGTAAAAGCATCTAGTGTATGATGGCCATAGCAGATGTTCGATAGCTTAATTACTCCTCCCTCTTCCTTTCCTTTCCAGCCTGACCAAGTTTTGCTTTTCTAACCTCTTTCTTTTGAACCTCTTTCTTCATGTCCTGCCTCCACTCCCTATAAACCACACATAACGCATTCTCCAGCCCCACTGAACATCTCCTTTCCCAATATATCTGTGGAAATACTCTTCCTTCTCTCCTCCAACCCAGAAAATCCCCTTGGTTTTGCTCTCTTCCCTAAGGAGCCTGAGCCTTTGTACTTGGGCAGAATTTGCCACTCCTTTTTGTCCTCCCAAACCACTGTGATTATGCCTCTTTCAAAATATACTTGCTGTAATGTGCTGTTGTGGTGTGTTGTTATGATTTGTGCTCATGGCAGTTGCCCCAACGTGATTGTGACCCCTCAGTGGAACGGACTTTCCCTTATTTTTCGATCCTTAATGATTCAAGCATTTGTTTAATAAAATAATAGAATCAATATATGTAATTTAAAGAAATGGATGCTCAAATATTATATTCTAGAAATGATATATAGAGAAAAATAATTCTGAAAGCTTTCCTGGACTAAAAATAGTGGTTTAGAGTACTGATCTCCATTTTCTTTTCTTTTTAAAATTTATTTACTTATTTATTTTGAGACAGGGTCTCACTATGTCGCCCAGGCTGGAGTACAGTGGCGTGATCTCAGTTCACTGCAACCTCCACCTCCCAGGCTCAAACGATCCTCCCACCTCAGCGTCCTGAGTAGCAGGGATGATAGACATGCGCCTCCCTGACCAACCAAATTTTTTTTTTTTATATTTTTTAGCAGAGATGGGGTTTCATCATTTTGTCTAGGTCTGGAACTCCTGAGCTCGGGTGATCCACCCACCTCAGCCTCCCAAAGTGCTGGGATTACAGGCATAAACCACTGTGCCTGACCTAATCCCCATTTTTGTAGCACTTTTTTTTTTTTTTAATTTTCAGGGCTGGTTTTAAATGCTTTGTGTCCACAATCTTTCCCGATTCCTTGATTATTCTTTGTTGTAGGTGCTATAATACTTATTTCACAGATTCAGAAACTGACATTCAGAAAAGTTAAGTAGCCTTGCATAGTTACATAATTTTAACTGTTAGAGTGGGGATTTGAACCTATGTTTTCTGACTCCAAGGTTTATCTTCTATGTGGTACTATCTCATCCAATCTACTGCCATAGCCTGGTTTCGTCTTAAACATAGATGAAAAGTGTGGGTTAGTGTCTTTATTAGAGAAAAATTTGTGGAGCAGGCAAGAGAACTGTCTGCAATAGTCACATCTTTGAGTGGTTGGAGATAGTTATTAGGTAGATAAAACATAACTAATGAACTGTAAAATTCTAAAATCTGGACACCTCATAAATCCTTTCATTTTCACTCATTATTTGTTTTGAAAAAGTCACGAAGCAATCTTATTCCTGAAAGAAAACTATTTTAATGATACCTTTTTGACTTTCAAAGGTACTTTTCATTTTCACCATACAATACTTGCACAGGAGATCCTTACACAGATAATTTTCTTGACCAAATCACATAAGAGAGCTTATTCCTCTAGTCTCAAAGAAATCAAGCTAAACCCCAAGCAAATCATGCAAATTGCTGTGTGTTATCCTGTCCTGGGAACTGCTATTTGTAACAGACTGTCCAGGTATTTTTAGTAGGGAACTCTTGTCTACAAGAGCCTACAGATCTGGAGAGTAATTGTATAGCTAATTGCATCTGCAATTAATGACAAATTTGTAGCTTGATGAGCAGTTGTGATCCCAAATATGTTTGAAACCTCTTGGTAACATAGCAACTATAAACTGCCAGAAAAGTTCTCATGGGGGGGACTCTTGGAATACAAAGTGAAAGTCATTCATTCATTCATTCATCTTATCAACCTCTTGGAAACCTCTCAAACTTAGACATAGACATTCAGTTGGGCCTATAGGGTTTCTGTATTTATTGAACCTATTGAGAGCTAGAATATGCCAGACTATTCAGAAACAGGAAATTGATCCCTGGAATAGCTTAATGCCTAGACAGGATTTCTCAGTGTATTCCCTGGAGCACTAGTTGCAGGGCCTATTAAGAGATGTCAGGTGAGAAAATAGTGTTTTAAGGCCAAATATATACAGAAACACTGGGTTTAAAAAATTCCAGCAGATTTCTTTTCTACTGGACTTCTCCGAACCTTTAATATGTCACTGTGTATTCTGACTCTCCTGGAATAGTAGTTACTGTTTGTTCAATTTGCTTTGTTCAGGAAGTATCTCAAAAACAGTAATCTGCAAAATAGGAAGCACAAGCTTGAAGTGTCTCTATAGGTACTGTGGAACTGTGGGCAGCTGTATTTTGCCCCCTGGGCTTTTGATAGATTTTGTCTAGCTGGGAGCTAATATCTTACTCACTGATGTAGCACCACTGTAGCAACTTTGTGCAGATACAATGTCAAGAGAGTAACAAACAAAATCCTACCTAGAAATAAAGAGGCAAAGATAAATAAAACATTGGTATGGCCCATGTTATACAGAGATTTCTATAATTATAAAGAAAGAAAAATTTAAAATCGAATACATTCTGTATAGCATCTTAAACATATGTTGAGTGAATTCCTTTGGACAAACTTGAAATCTTGTATTTTCTCCACAGTATTTCTAAGAACACTGTTAATTTTTATGTAATGTCAAATTATCATAGGTAATAAGAATTCATTGAGGAAAATGGGAGAATTTATATTTTATGTAATCAAACATTTGTGATGTTTCAGAAATCACATTATGAATGTCTCTATTTCATTGACTCTTTCTCTTCTGAATCGTTCCGACTGGAAATCAAGGTCTACAATCGCCTGTACGGTGTGGTCAAGAGAAATGAAATGAAATATATTCTGCTATTCTGGTAGCAGAGTCAATGTAGGAGATTCTAAACCCAAAGTTAATGTGAAGCCCTGGTTTTATTATATTGTTGATAAACATACATACTCTGTCACTACAGATGCCTGAGAGTTGGCTGTCAAAGTAGTTTTATGGCATTTAAATACTTTTCAGAGGAATTTGCCTGAAAGACATTGGGTAAGTAATAAATTGTGTGTCAGGGAGAAGAAAGGAACATGGGGTTGCAGATGGATATAGAAGTAGACTGTGAAATTGGGCAGGTGTCATCTGCTGTTCCCATGTTTGGTAGGTGAACTTTAGCTTCATTAAAGATGCCCTTCTAGAAATTAAAAAGTTGTTCTGCGTTTCAAATGCTCCACAGCCACATGTGGCTAGCGGTTTCTGTATTGAACAGGGCAGATACAGAATGCCTCCATTGTTGCAGAAAGTTCTATTGAGCAGTAGTGTTTATATTAATATACAGATTTCAGACCCATATGGGAGTTAGGAGTAGGAAAAAAGAAGAGAGGCTAAAATGGCAGGGTTTTATCAGCAAGTGGTAGATTTTGAAGTTATAGAGGCTGGAGAAGTATAATGTCTTAAATTCTTTAGAAATTTAGAGCACTATAAAAAGAGTTTTATGCCTAAGAATAAAGAAGCATTAAAAATACGGAAACATGGGAAAAATAGATTAACATTTAGCTCTGTATTTAGCATATTCCTGCTTCTTAATATATTACTCTTAAGGAAGGGAAGAAGTTGGCTTGTTTTGAAGCACACATTTTACATGACTAATTGAAACCAGGGACTCCTGTGCTCAAACAGCGTTGTGAGAATTCAATTCCATGAGGGCCCTCAGTCTACTATATTTGTCCAAAGATTACAGTTAGAGCAACCTCAAAGAACGGAATTCTCAACAAGGAAAGAAAAACCAATGCAATGGGTAAGTAGGACCATGGCAGACAGAAATTCAAGATCTGAAGGAAATGCGGGTGCCCACATAGGCCCATCTGCAGGAACACTGTTCCAGGTATGGGAATTGGTTTATGCAAAGGCCCTGAGGCTGACACATGTTTTGGGCGGTTCAATAAATAGCAGCATGTTTAGTATGTCTGGAATTGAGTGAATGAGAAAGAGCGGGGAGAAGTGGAGGTCTGACAGGAAGGTGGAGTAGAGTACAGAAAGAAATGCAGACCTTTGCAAGAGCACTGGACATTCTCTGAGAGACAGGAAGCCACTGGGAAATTCTGAGTGGAAGAGCAATGTGACCTGGCTCAGGCTTTGCTGGTGACTTTCTGTCCTTTCACCCTATATATGCTTTCACAATATTTTTTATTTGCTTACTTCATAAATTGGAGTGGATATACACAATTTTGTCAGTTTTGTGGCAATATTTTCTATCAAATTTGGGGCAGATTTCATTAATTGTAGATTTTCCACTGTTTTTCAAATAATATCAACCTGACTTAGGTTACACAGCAATGATCAACAGAAGCAAATGGAATTCAGGTTTCTTTACATCTCTTAATACTTTCCCCCCTTTTTATAAACTTTCCTAGCGTTAAGGGCTAATAAGACATATTTTTTGAAGAACTGCCATAGAGAGTTTTGATGAAAAACTTGCAGCATGGGCATGCCAGGGAGTGAATTTAAAGCAGAGGAAGCAGAACTAAAAAATTTTCAAGTAGTGTTCCTATTTTCTATTTCTTCTTCTCCTTTTTTAAGGCTCAAGTATTATTTGGGCCAATGGAGGGCCCAAGCAGCCACTGCATCCCCAAGCCTCTAGCTCTGTTTCTTCAGCGCCAGCAGTTCAGGAAAGGAGAAAGAAAGACAAAATAAGAAAGAGGAAGAGGAGAGGCTTCTGGAAGTTCAGAAAGAAGTAGAGAAATGCTGAAAAGTTTTCACTTCTCTTTTTCCCAGCCTGGGACGTAGAAAGCAGACTCCCTGTATGTAAAGAGTATCCCTAATGGAAAAAAAAACCATTGTAAAAAGGGGAAATCACCTTTTATCCTATGAGAGGAGCTAATTGGGCATCTTTAAAAAAATTCAGATAATTGAATAGAGGAACTTACGCAGAAAAAATATTTTAAAATTTTCTTTTAGAATGAGAGGGGAATTTCAACAAGAGGGCAATAAAAAATGCTATCATCCTTGATAATAAAAAAAAGTGTTTATTTAATCAAATAGTCTATTGGCTTCCTGACTCATACATCTATCTCTATTTGTTTTAGAGATTGTTCTTGATTGCTGGCATATTTCTGTCTTTGGTTCTACACAGTAGCCATTGTTTAATTCATAATAACATGAACAAGAATGGGGTTGTTAAAGATGACCTCTAAGGTTTGAAGGTCAAAGAGATTATATAGAAGCAAGAATCAAGGACAAAGCTGTAAAATTCATGTTCAAAGAAGGTGTGGTAGGGGTGGGTGGATGGACTTGTTTCTTCATTTCTCTTTAAATCTGTCTCTGGGCTGGTTTCATTTCAATGAGAGAGACAACCATCACCTTGCCACTGCTTCCTAAATAGATCACTGCAAGTTTGAGGAGTAAAAGATGTCATGCCCAGGGCTTAGTCTAGAAGTCATCGCGTATAGCTTTTTATATAAAATTCATCCTTGCAGTTTGAGATTAATTTTCTGTTTGCCATCTGATAGTAATATTGAGGAAATTTGAATTGTAAAGATTTTAATAATCATTTGCAATAAAGATAAGTAGTTTTCAGAATTATCTCTGGAAGCTGATTTAAGGGAAGTCAACAGTTAGGCCTGGGTTCCTGGGATGAGATTGAGAAAACAAGGTAGGCTTTGAGTCTTGGAGGACTCTCACAGTACTTATTCAAGCAGTTGCTCTTACAGACTGACATTGACAAATAGAGAACTTCCTGGGACATCCTTTGGCTTAGGACAATGATTAAGCAAATATTATCTTCATGAGAAAATTTCCATCAGGTTTTGGTATGTTGAAGATTCACTATTATATTTCTAAGTGCCTTAGCTTCTTAAGCCATGTTCTAAAAATCAGCTAACTTGCTGTTTTAAAAAACTTTCTGACTCACCTACCTTTTATTTTATTTTATTTTTGTAGACATCTGCAATGAGGAACAGTACATCTAGAACAGTATTTCAATATGGCCCTTAGCTGACTGTCTTAAATGTACCAGATCCCTGATTACTTTTGCAGTTAACAATGTGAACCCAGAAAAATCCCTAAATGGAAATCCTAGTTCTCCTAATCACCAGCACTGAACACTGTACAATAAAGTCCACCCAAAATAAGTCAGGGCCATAATTTCCATGATGACAGTCCCCAATACAGCATTTTGTTATTGTTTCTTTCAAATCACTAGAATTCTTCCCATGTGCTGTCATATCTTCAGATAAGAGCCACATGGAGATTAAATGTGATTTTAAATGAACTTTTACAGGCCTCTATATTTTCTTCG
This sequence comes from Homo sapiens, assembly GCF_000001405.40. Lineage (NCBI taxonomy): Eukaryota > Metazoa > Chordata > Mammalia > Primates > Hominidae > Homo > Homo sapiens. Next base: position 74,301,512 of record NC_000013.11, read on the forward strand.
TGAGTTTTATTATTTTTAGAGGCAAGTGATGAAAGGTTATTCCCTGCAAGATCTAGCCAGTTAAACATGCAGCATAAAATCCTGAAGCCCTGCAGTCAGACACAGAAGAGCAAAGGGGAAAACGAGAAAATGTTCCATTGGGGCTGCAGCTTTTCAGAGTATGCAGGAATGATGTCATTTGTTTTCACAAAACCCAGTTTAAATTTGTTCCTGCCTTTCAAGAACTGCAGCAGGGAGCATCTGTGGAGACTCCTGCATCCCATATTTCAGGGCGTTAGAGTGTACGCTGCATTGGAATCCAACCAATCGCAGTATTCTTGCCCGCCCCAATTTTCATTTGTTCCCCCTACCTGAGCTGCCCGTGTTAAATGACCGCCCAGCACCCTCTCCCGTGTTACAACTGCAGAGGCATAGCTCCATGCCTTGAAGGGTTTAAAGGAGAATAATACCACAATAAAAACTTACTTCTGATCACCCAGGGACATTCATTTCAATGACAAATAACCTCCAGGAAAAGATCTATCTGTGAAGGATGTTTTTGGTTTGGGGTTTAAATGAAATCTTAGCCTTTGGTTTTTGCAGCCCCTGGGTAGCACTGGGGCCATCGTAAGAAGCAAGAAAACAGAAATCCTAGGCTATTGAACTTTCAGGGGCAGAAGCAGGACCTCCAAGTTCTATACCAACAATTATCTTTTCACAAAGCAAACCCCATTTCTATGTATATAGTCATATGTGATGATTGGAAAATAAGTAATGCAGCAGAAACAGCATTTTAAAAACTATATTAAAGTGATGGAGATGATGGTGTGAACTTCACTTACAAAAATAATGGATAAGATACAGAGTGAAAAAGACAGTGTTGGTTAGCATGTCACCTCACTTGTTCTTAGTTTGTCTCCTCCATATGTAGATACTGCATATTGGCAATTACAGTTATCAGTGTAGGTTCTCTGGTTGTGAGCAGCTGTAACCAAACTAAACTAAAGGAATATTTATTGGAGGGCCATGAGGAAACTTACAGAATAAAAGGAAGACTGAAGAAACTGACTTGGAGATGACAGGGGCCGTGGTGTTATGGCATTTTCCGTTGGAGAAACTGCTTGTTGGGATTGTCAGTCCCCACTGCTAGACTGAATCATCGCCAAGTTTCCCTCCCACTTTTCTCATCATTCCGCTCAAGGGACAAAATTCCAGGAGAGAGTGTCCCATTGCTCACATGTCCAATGTGACTGCTTGGCTTGGAGAAAGCAGGGAGCCCTCAGCCTTCTGATTCACAGGGACACCTTCTAAAAGGAGAGGGGAAATTCTGCCAAAGGAGGTGGGGGTGCTGCTTCCAAAAGAAAAGGGGAAATGAGTGCTGTGTGCTCTTCTCTGTCACCATGATCCATGCCTTGGGTCAGGGCCTCCTAATTTTCTTGCCTGAATTAACAGTCTTCCTCCTTTAACTCATTTTTTTAAACTCATTTTTAAACCTTTCAATCGTTCCCTATTTGTAAAGGCCAAGCCAGGACACTTTTGAAAATGACGCCAAGTGGTATTGATTGTTATACCAGGACAAGAGGCATAAACTGGGACCATCTTTGGCAAAGTGGATGTATGGTCATTCTTCCTTTAACCATACTTTCTTCCTACACTTGACCAATATCTAGCCTATTCTTCAAGACTTGATTTAAGGAGAACTGAAAGCTCTTTGAGTATAGAAATGGTGCCTTTTTCTTCTTGTGTCGTCTGCATCTTATCTCATGCTTGGCACATGGCAGTTGCCCCAAGAACCTTCACTGTGGAGTTATAATCGAGTGTGACTATTGAATTCCTGTCTTTCCTATTCCCATATGCTTTCACATCCACATTTTCTATGTATCTTGGGAGTACACTATTCCCAGTATTCACCTTGGAGGGCATAGCTAACTTCTGTTTTCTTTGTATACCTGTCATTCTTTCTTTCTAATAGTGACCCCAGTGGGCCTTCCTCTCCATCATATAAATGGGTAGGGTAAAGAACTAAACGAGCTCAGACCATTTCTGTTTATAAAAGATGCTATTGATGAAAATATACTTTTTTTGATGAAATGGAAAGTGAAATATTTAAAAAGAGATTGTCCTTAAAACGGAATGACTTTTACTGAACACCTCTTTTGTGGTATACAGTAGAGTACTATAATAGATTTTCACCAACCAGTAACTTATTCTCTGCGTTACCAGACTTTGTCAACGCACAAATCCTCTAGGTATTCTTTCAGATATATCCTCCTGGTTTCAGAAATGCTGGAATTGGAGCTCTACCTTGAATTGTCTTTTCCGAGGCCCACTCTGTCATCAGGATTTATCAGAAGGGTGCGTTATTTGTCCATGTCAGTGCTCAGATCATGCCCTAAGGACTTTTCTTAAGCAATATGTTCCCTTTAAAACATTGTTTTAAAAAATCCTGTCTTGTGCGGCACAGTTGCATCTCAGAGTGAGAATCAAAGAGGTTTCCTAGGTCAAGCAGAACCCCAAGCAGATTCCTCCTAGGCCTTTCCGAGGGCCCACTCTGCAGGCTAATGAGGGTGCATAACTCCATGCTGATCCCTTTCCATCTCTAGCTGGATGCTGTGATTTTTCGGAACCCAAGCCTAGTGAGTACACTGGCTGCAGCTCTGTGATAAAGGCACAGGCTTTCAGCCTTGACCAAGGGCCCACATCCAAAAATTCTGTATCAGAAACCAGATAATTTCATATCGTTTGCACTGTACTCCACCTTATCCATACTGTTTTTCTTTTTGTGGAAATTTTTTTTCTCTTCATCAGTCACTCTGAAGCGTTGCTCACTCATTCACTCAATTCTAGAGCAGTACTTTGCGGACCTTCTTGTAACCATGTTGCCTCCCTGTTCAGAACTTATGATGTAGAAAGCAAAGCATAGGATGCTATTGAAATGTGGAGTTTTATCTCTTAAATCTCATGTCAGTATCAATTACAGCACCAAAGCAATGACATGAAAATTTGTGGGTAAAAATGGAAAATGAGTTATGTTTATATTATGCTAATATATTTTTAACTTAAAATTTAAAAAATATAAGCTATTTGGCATTGCAGTTATTAATTTGAGAGAAAAATGAATTAACTGTGGAACAAAGAAAGGACGATAATTTCATGTAAGGGGTGAAGTACGTGTTTATTACTTAGATAGTATGGTAGGGAGACGGCCCAGTTCATTGGAGGGTAAAATGAAAGAAGATGTAGGAGAAAGTGAAGTGTAATTGGTAAACTCAGCTGAGGGTAGAGAAAAGGAGCTTGCAAGTTAGAGAGTTGTGAAGTTTTTGATAAAAGAATACATGCATTAGGACCTATCAGACATCAAGTTCTACAAGACAAGAAAAAATATTTTTCTTATTAGAAACTCTACAAGACATTTTCTGTCATTCCGCATTGCCGAGGATAATTCTTCCACACGCTTATTTAAGATGGCTTTCTCAGAATCTGTGTCTATACAGTCAGAGTTAAGGTGAAAGATGGTAACCATCTGGGTAGTTCAATCAGTGTAGCTGGTAATGCATAATTAACCTCCTCCCTTCTCCCCACTCATTCTCTTTTCCCCAGTAACAATTTTGAGGGTATTTTCCCCCATAAATCTTGAATTATCTGGATAATTGTTTTCTGTACTTCATGTTGCTAGAAATCCACAGCTTGACTGATATCAATAACAGTTTTTTAAAACCTCCACATCTGCAGAGGATACCATAGAGAAAAAGTAAAGTGCTATATTTCCGTTGCTTTTGCTGGTTACCTAATCCAAAATTTTTAAATGCTCTACATTTTAAAAAGTTGTTTAGGAAAACATCTGTACAGCCAGGTACTGAAACTGACTTATTTACTGATATCTAATTTTTCTTCATTTAACTTCATATAACTGTCAGGCCACAGAGGGTCACTACATATTTAGTTGTTTTTTCCCTTTTAAAATTGTTTTTAACTTAAATAAAAATTGGAAAAAATATTAGTGTGCTGTCTTACTCTCTCTTTTTTTTAGGTTTAAAATCTGTGAGGGCAGGAATTACATATTCTCTATTTATAAAAAACATTGAAACTTATTCCACTGCTTACAGTTCAGTGGGGGTCACTTAATGATATCAGTAAAATTCAGTGTCAATCTTTAAAAAGAAATATTTTTCGTCTCCCCGAAAATATCTCTCTAGTAAAACTTGTTTGTCAAATGACTAGAGCTCCCTTAACAAATAAAACATAACACTATTTGCTGCTCTTTTCCTCTGAAGTGATGATAAATTGCTGGGGAGTAAAAGCCTTCACACTAATAACAGAGGAAAATTGACTCTAAGATCCCATCATTTTGTTTACCAGCTGTCTCTACAATTCTCTGATAACCCAGCCCACATTAAAAAATTGTTCAGAGATAGTAAAATAGACCAGAAACAAATGATCTCTCTGCTGAAATTAGTTTAAGCAGGGGAAAAGGCTGGAAAGAAAGATTTGATCCAAAAACTTACCTAGCTCTCAGGCATGATACCCGGTGACCACATAGTCGGTGCTGAAACACAACTCAGGAGCATTACATCATCGTGACAAACTTTCATTGGCTGCAGAAACCCCAAGGATAAGACAGGCTTTTAAGGTGCTGTGTGAAAACCCCTGTTGGTTCTTTATCAGGCTATGGCCAAAATATTGAAAGAAAGACTTTTTCTACATTCATGTTGTCATGGCTGAGCTGACAAAACATTGTTAACCATTTCTTATGCATATTTATCTCCACTTTAGTCCCTAGTTTTGTGTTTAACTCTAACCTGTTGGGAAATTATTGTCTTAAAACTATTTGTTTCAAAAGCCTTGTTTTTCGTTTGGCTTGTTTTTCTTGAGGGTGCAGAGTATCACTCTGTGAATGGCTATTTCCCTTCTTACTCTTCAGACCATCTTTCTTATTTTTAAAACTATATTTGAATCAATACATCTGTTTTTCTATTATTTATTTTGTCTTTATTCTCTCTAGGCAAAGAGGACTAGCACCCACAGATTTGAGAAAGCACAAGTGTGTTTATTTATTTTGAGCAATTTAATTGGAACTAGTGCACAAAGTCCTTACTTCCTAATTATTCATTGTCATTGTTAGTTTTATTTTCTTTTGAACTCTATGAGTTATTTATGTCGTGCTTATTACCATGGTGATTTACAAACCAAAACCATGTGTGTAATTTGAGAGTGTGAGGAGCTTTAAGTGACTGAGTGAAAGTGATAGGACAATGGCTAGATCCTGCACCACTGCTGCACCAGTCTCTCCTGCCTGAGGGGGAAGCATTTGATGTAGGGAAAATGCTCTTGTTATAAAAGTAGAACATTTGGACAATTAGATTCATCATTCAAGAAATGACAACAGTGTCACATTACTATCGAATGTTAATTTCTCTCTCGCTCACTCTCTGTGTGACTTTCTTTATCTCTGATTCTGTCTCTCTCAAATTTAGGAGTACAGAGGAGCAGAATGATGACAAAAGTGACTGAATTAGTGGCTTTTTAAAGTATCTCATGTCTTCTCTCTCCTAAGAACTTGACTGTCTAGTCTCTAAAAGATAAGCAAATACATACACAAATACCCTAAAAAATCCTCTAGGCTGGGAACTGAGAACTATGTTTCTAGTGCATGTCTGGGCTACTCAGCTGGGCTGTAAATACTCTCTTATTCCTCTCAGACCCTTCTCAGCCATGGGTTCTCAGCCACGTGCCTTGGAGGAGGCTAATCTACCTATTGCAAGAGAAGGAGTGGCTGCTGAGCCTGTTACCTTTCTTCTATTGTTAGGAATATCTTTCTACTATTGTTCCTTAGACCTCTGGTCTCCAAGAATAGCTAGTCATCCTTTTTTTTTTTTTTTACTGTGTAGAGTAATACTGAGGATTCAGGGGCCTAGATTATGGTCTTGAGATATTTATGAACATTTCTAATAGTGATGAGGAGAAAGGGAGAGAAAAAGAAGAGAGAACTCTTTCTTATTTTTTCTCCACTGAGAGGAAGGAAGGGATAAACCAGTCACAATCTCTCTGTTTTGTAGCTAGGATTTACAGAGTAAAATAAGATCTATCCCTTGCCCTCAAGATGTTTCATACGAGGAGGGAGAAAAATAATATTCCACAATTACTATTAAAGTCTGATAAAAATATGATAGGTGTATATACATTGATGGGCCTCTAACTGAGACTGGAAGAGCCAAGAAGTGGGGCATATGAGCTGAATTTTGAAGACATAGGGTTAACTAGCTGAAGAGAGGGAGTAAAGAATTCTGTAAAAGGAAAACAGAATGTAAAGGCAAGGAGGAATGAAGGCATGGTTTGTTTGAGAAAGAGAAAATAGTGTTCTGTTTATGGAAAGAAAGAGTGGTATGGAAGATAAAGCTAGATCAATAGATATGAACACATCATGGAGGCCATTGTGAGCTAAGCTAAAGGATATGGACTTTAACTTGAAACTATTTTAGGTCATTGAGGAACTATAATCAGATTTGTAGCTAAGCTGTATTAGTCTAGCAGTAGCCTGGAATGCATAGGAATGGACTGGAACCAGAGATCCCAGTTAGCTTACATGTATTTCAGTTGAACCTCGGCAGGAAACAGATGGCACTTTCAAAAAGCGTAATGGTAGAGAGTTTACCGAAAAAACCATTTTCACAGGTGTGGATGGGGTTAAGGGAATCAACAATGGAAGGTGAAGCACCCAAGGAGCCACATCAGTAGGAAGTTGTTACTGGGCAAGGTCTGTTATCAGACACTGAATCCAATGGGTAGCCACTGAGAAGAAAATCTGGGTGTTGCAGTAAATAGAAGTTAGCCTCTTGGGGCATGGAGAAGAGTAGTGATATTTAGAGAAAGTAACTGGAGATGGAATGAAACAGACTATAGACTCAACAGTATGTGTGTGTGTGTGTGTGTGTGTGTGTGTGTGTGTGTGTAAGAGAGAGAAAGAGAAAGAAAACAAGAGAGGGAAATAAACTGGAAGTATCTAGGTAGGATAATTTGTAAGTTGTTTTTTAGTCCTAACAAACAGATGGAGGGTTGTTCATTCATTGAAGAAAAAAGCTTCATGGATGCATGCTAATTGGTAAAGTTCCATTTTTATGCTGTTGGAGTATCTAGATAAAAATGTCAATTATATTAGCGTCTAGAGCTCAGAAAAGAAATCAAGGATCAGAGATGGGGCAGTACATTTGGTAGACATTAGCAGATGCATTGTTTTTGGGGCCATGAATGTGGATGAGATCACCCAATGAGAGAGTACATAATGTGAAGAGAATGAGGTTGAGGTGCAAGCCTGGAAACACTAACATTGAAGGAGCAGCTGGAGTAGAGGGGCCTCTAAAAGAAAACAGAGAAGATATGTTATTAACGAGTAGGGTGTTGGGAGTTAAAAATGGTGAGCTGGAAGGACAAGCTGTCAAGGTAAACGAAGAGTTTGAACTCATGATATTAAAGATCATATCCAGCGTATTAGTCAGCCAGGGCTGTCATAACAAAACACCACAGACTGGTGGCTTCCAGAACAGAAATTTATTTTCTCACAGCTCTGGAGGTTGTAAGTCCAAGATCCAGAGGCTAGCAGAGTTGATTTCTCCCAAAGCCTCCTTCCTTGGCTTGCAAATGGCTGCCCTCTCACTGTGCCCTCACATGGCCTTTCTTCTGTGTGTGCACATCCTTGGCATCTCTTCATCATCAAACAAGGACATCAGTCATATTGGATAAGGGCCCCAGTCTTATAATCTCATTTAACTTTAAGTACCTCTTTAAAGGCCCTATCTCCAAATACAGTCACATTGGGTAAACCAGTGGTTACCCATTGACTTCAACATAGATATTTTGAGAGGACACAATTCAGTACATAACACCTAGGCAGAGTGTGGATAGGGGAGTGAGTTAGTGAAATAAAGAGCAGATGAAGCTCACTGGAGCTGAGGCTAACAACTGCTACTCTCACAATAATTGACCCCACACTTAAAATTGAATTTTTTAAATCATGTTCTGGTGAGGTTTGTACTATTTTTGCCAAATGAGCCCAGTAGAATAATGATGACCACTACTAGTAGTATAGTTATCATATGTACCTATAAAACATGCAAAATATTTGTCTATATAACTTGGAGATCAACTAAAACATTTTACATGGAAAATATTGTCATATTTATAGATCAAGTTGAAGAGTCTTACTGTATATGTAATGCAAGTGTGTATGTATCCATATTATATATAATATATATATATATATCATGATCACTTTTTTGTCACTGGAGAAGCTTGTTTGAAAGTAAATATAATTGGCATAGAAATTTACATGAAATAGTTTAAAATAAAAATTGTACAGAAATTCACACAAGATAGTCTATTTTTTCACATAGTATCTTCTAACTTTCTATATGGGATGATCAAATTCTGAAAATGGTTACCAGATACTCAGCTTGTGTTTTTATGTATTTATATTGCCATTACATTCTTAGTGGGTAAATGCCAGAAAAAACTAATCAGGTATTACTTATCAGTTTTGATTTCTCTAAAGAGGAAACTGAGGCTCAAGAATAATGAATAATTAGCAAAAGATTAGCAAAGCACTGGCAGGAAAGAGTTTAGCTATCATTTTCCTACTTTTCACACTGGCACATATTCAATTATTTTTATTTTCTAGGTAAGTGAAATTGTTTTAAAGTTGACTCATTAGACACATCTTCCCTACGAGGTACAAAACTGTCATTTTAAAGTAAAAAGGCTGTAGTGCCACCTAATTAACTAACTTGCCAGTCTTCAACTCAGAAACAGAGCAAGGAAGGCTATCCAAATCACTGGCTCCTGGTCTTATGAACCTATACCTCGGCCATGTTTCTTTACTTCTCAGGTGTATTAGTCCATTCTCACATTGCCTGAGACTGGGTAATTTATAAAGGAAAGAGGTTTAATTGACTTACAGTTCTGCATGGCTGGGGAGGCCTCAGGAAACTTACAATCATGGTGGAAAGCGAAGGGGAAGCACGGACCTCCTTCATGTGGTGTCAGGAGGGAGAAGGAGCAAGCAAACATGCAAGAGAAGAACTACCAAACACTTATAAAACCATCAGATCTCATGAGAATGGACTCACTATCATGAGAACAGCATAAGGGGAACCACCCCTCATGATCTAAACAGCTTCTACCAGGTCTCTCCCTCAGCACCTGGGGATTACAATTGAAGATGAGATTTGGGTGAGGACACAGTCAAACCATATCATCAGGGTTCAGTCTGCTCATTTGAAGATGAGAGATTTGGTATGGATAATATCTTCTCACTTTAAACTTATATATGCCCATAACCTTTGCTTTCTAAGAATTCTAGGGATTTCCAGGGAGCCAACTCTTATACAGTTGTAATTCTTGAATACAGAGGATATTACCAAGGCTACAGCATGGCTAGCACTCAACACAGTAAATTCTGAGGACTGCTTTGGTATATGAGTGTGTCTGGGTATATTTGGTTGGTGTAAAAGTAATTGCAGTTTTTGCCATTAATTTTAATTGCAAAAACCATGGTTACTTTTGCACCAACCTAATAAAAGTTATTGTGAAAGCTCTCAAAACAAGATTAATTATACTGGACTTAATTCATACATATCATAGATGAAAAAACAATGGAATGCATTTGTTAATCACATGTAATTATTGTCAAAATTCAAAGATGATTAGAAACCGTTGGAATAAGAGTTATTACAAATAGACCAAAATAATCTGTTTTATTAAGTGAGAAAAAATTAAGGTTTTAGAAGCATCACCTGTATAAAAATGAAATAATACAATTTACTTATATAAAAATAAAAAGAAGTTTGAAATTTAGCAAATGCTAAAGGATCCTTAAAGAAATAAACAAAAAACCTGAAGACTGCACACCATTTCAGAGATGCCTCAGAGATAGAGGATGTGATGTAAAAATAAGAGTTTCCAAAAATTCTTTTACTAGATTCTAGGCAACTTGGTTAAGAAAATTCTAAAACACTCACAAGACATTAAAAACTAGTGTTTCTTGGTGCCAACTGTAACTGAAATTGCGCAGTTCAAAGATGATTTCTGAGGCATGCCATTTATGGCAATTTCTAAGCACAAACTTTTCCTCTAGGCCAATAATGTTAATGATTTTAAGAGCTTTGAAAGAAAGAGGTTGGAAAGCAGAATAAAATAAAAAGTGTAATATCACTTCCAGCAGGTATCTGGATTACCAAATGTGATGGTCAATTTTATGTATCCATTTCGGTAGTCAACGGCGGTACCCGGACATTTGGTCAAATATTATTCTAGATGTTTCTGTGAATGTATGTTTTAATGAGATTAACATTTAAATTACTAGTCTTTGAGGGAAGCAGATTACCCTCCAGAATATAGATACTAGAATCAGTTCCTTTCCTGGAAGAAGGGGGAACTCTTCCAGCAGACGGCCTTTGAACTTGAATGGCTACATTGCCTCCTTCTCAGTCTCCAGCCTGCTGGTCCACCCTGTAGATCTTAGACTTGCCAGCCTCTGTAATTATGTTAGCCAATTTCTTGAAATAAATCATTTTCTATATACTATATACAAATTCTATTCTGTTTCTCTAGAGAACCCTGACTAATACACCAAGGTTCTGTTAAATGGAAAAATGAAACAAGACAGATTTTAAATCAATGACAGAGAATTAGGAGTTCTCTACAATTTCAGTTAACATTCTGAATCTGGGGTATAAGTAAGGAAACAACCCCAGGACTGATGAATTAGTTTTTTAAAAAACCCAGCTTAAATATTTTACCCATTGCTGCAAAATTTATTTTTATTGAAAAGTAAAACCATTTTCTAAACATCATTAATTTCATTCTTCTTTCTAGATATTGATATGCCAACCTCACTTTCCATTTTATTATCTAAATGAGAATCGTAGGTAGCGAAGAATAATGATAACAGTTGATAATCATTTCCATTTCTTTTATACATGTGTCTGCATGTGTGCATGTGTGAATGTTTATCTGCCTCTTCTAGTCCTCTTTATTACTGCCTGTCCTACAGAAAACATGGTTTTTTGAAAGTTTAAAAAATATTATTATTACTTTTACTAAATTAGCTATAACTTAATTTTTAGTTGGTGTTTGGAATGAATTGGGAAAGTATTTGGGGGCTGGGGGAAAGAAGCTTTCTTATTAAACTTAAGGAAGGTTGGATTTTGAGACCCTTCACAGTTATTTTTTCAAATGGCTTCTCATCTTCTGCAGTTTCTCTAGCAACCTCCTCTCACCTTGTAATCAGATTCATAATTGTTGAATCTTTCCAGAATCATGTAATATATAATGTTATTCATTTCACACCAGACATTATGCAAAATTAAGCAAGAGGTTTCAGACTCTAAAACATTGCAATTTAAATTTTCTCTTTGAGAATACAAACAAATCAGAAAGGAAAAAATAATCCCATCAAAAAGTAGGCAAATGACATCAATAGACACTTCTCAAAAAAAGCCATACAAATGCGAAGAAACATGAAAAATGCTCAACATAACTAATCATCAGGGAAATGCAAGTTAAAACAATGAGATACTACCTCACCCCAGCTAGAATGACTACTATTTATTTTTTATTTTTTAAAACTTTTATTTTAGGTTCAGGGCTACGTGTGAAGGTTTGTTATATAGATAAACTTGTGTCTAGGGGTTTGTTGTACAGATTATTTTGTTACCCCGCTACTAAGTCTAGTACCCAATAGTTATTTTTTCTGCTCCTCTCCCTCCTCCTACCCTCCACACTCAGGTAGGCCCACAGTGTCTGTTGTTCCCCTCTTTGTGTCTATGTGTTCTCATCATTTAGCTCCCACTTATAAGTGAGAACATAGGGTATTCAGTTTTCTGTTTCTGTATTAGTTTGCTAAGAATAATGACCCCCAGCTTCATCCATGTTCCTGCAAAAGACATGATCTAATTCTTTTTAATGGCTGCATAGTATTCCATGGTGTATATGGCCACGTTTTCTTTATCTGGTCTATTGTTTATGGGTATTTAAGTTGATTTCATGTTTTTGCTCTTGTGAACAGTGCTGCAGTGAACATACATGTGCATGTGTCTTTACGATAGAATAATTTATCTTCCTTTGCGTATACCCAGTAATGTCGAAAGGTATTTCTATTTTTAGCTCTTTGAAAATCACCACACTGCTTTCCACAATGGCTGAACCAATTTACACTCCTGCCAACAGTGCATAAGTGTTCCCTTTACTCTGCAACCTCATTGGCATTTGTTATTTTTTGACTTTTTAGTAATAGCCATTCTGACTGGTGTGAAATGGTATCTCATTGTGATTTTGATTTGAATTTCTCAAATGATCAGTGATATTGAGCTTTTTGTTATATGCTTGTTGGCTGCATATGTGTTTTCTTTTGAAAGGTGTCTGTTTATGTCCTTTGCCCACTTTTTAATGGGGTTGTTTTCTTCTTGTAAATTATTTTATAGATGTGGATATTAGACCTTTGTCAGATACATAGTTTGCAAATATTTTCTCCCATTGTGTAGATTGTCTGTGTACTCTATTGAGAGTTTATTTTGCTGTACAGAAGCTCTTTAGTTTAATTAGATCCCATTTGTCAATTTTTGGTTTTGTTCCAGTTGCTTTTGGTATCTTCTTCATGAAATCTTTGCCAGTTCCCATGTCCAGAATGGTATTGTTTAGATTCTCTTCCAGGGTTTTTATAATTTTAGGTTTTACGTTTAAATTTTTAATCTATCTAGAGTTGATTTTTGCATATGGTATAAAGAAGGGGTCCAGTTTTAATCTTCTGCATATGGCTAGCCAGTTGTCCCAGCACCACTTATTGAATAGGGAGTCCTTTCCCTATTGCTTGTTTTTGTGAGCTTTGTCAGAGATCAGATGGTTGTAGGTGTGCAGTCTTATTTCTGGGCTCTCAGTTCTGTTCCATTAGTCTATGTGTCTGTTTTTGTGCCAATATCATGCTGTTTTGGTTACTATAGCCTTGTAGTACAGTTTGAAGTCGGGTAGTGTGATGCTGCCTGCTTTGTTCTTTCTGCTTAGGATTGCCTTAGCTATTTGGGCTCTTTTTTGGTTCCATGTGAATTTTAAGATAGTTTCTTCTGGTTTTGTGAAGAATGTCATTGGTAGTTTGATAGGAATAGCATTTAATCTATAAATTGCTTTAGGCCATTTTAATGATATTGATACATGTATAGCAATCCATATCTGAAAGGCACAACTGAAATATTGTGTGGTACAGTTGGAGAGGCAGGCAAAACTTCTGGGAAAAACAGTCTGGCCATTTTATTGATATTGATTCTTCCTATTCATGTGCATGGAGTGTTTTTCCATTTGTTTGTGTCATCTCTGATTTCATTGAGCAGAGTTTTGTAATTATCATTGTAGAGATCTTTCACCTCCCTGCTTAGCTGTATTCCTAGGTATTTTATTCTTTTCTGTGGCAATTGTGAATGGAATTGCGTTCCTGATTTGGCTCCTGGCTTGGCTGTTGTTGGTGTGTAGGAATGCTAATAATTTTTGTACATTGATTTTGTATCCTGAAACTTTGCTGAAGTCGTTTATCACTTTAAGGGGCTCTTGGGATGAGACTATGAAGGTTTTTAGATGTAGAATCATGTCATCTGCAAACAGGGATACTTTGACTCCCTCTCTTCCTATTTGGATGCCTTTATTTCTTTCTCTTGCTTGATTGATCGGTCCAGGGCTTCCAATACTATGTTGAATAGAAGTGAGAGACGGCATCTTTTCTTGTGCCAGTTTTCAAGGGAAATGCTTCCAGCTTTTGTCCATTTAGTATACTGCTGGCTGTGGAGAATGGCCATTATTAAAAAGTCAAAAAACAGTAAATGTTGGTATGGATGTGGGGAAAAGGGAATGCTTATACTCTGTTGATGGGAATGTAAATTAGTACAACCTCTATGGAAAACCATATGGAGATTTCTCAAAGAACTAAAAGGAAGTCTACCATTCGATCCAGCAATCCCACTACTGGGTATCTACCGAAGGAAAATAAGTGATTATATAAAAAAAGACACCTTGCATGCATAAGTTTATCACGGCACAATTCAAAATTGCAAAGAAGTTGAACTAACCTAAGTCCCTATCAACCAATGAGCAGATAAAGAAAATGTGGTATGTACACAACATGGAATACTACCCAGCCATAAAAAAGAACAAAATAATGCCTTTTGCAGCAACTGGGATGGAGCTAGAGGCCATTATTCTAAGTGAGGTAACTCAGGAATGGAAAACCAAATATATGTTCTCACTTGTTAGTGGGAACTAAACTGTGGGTAAACAAAGGCATACGGAGGGGTATAATGGACATTGGAGACTCACAAGGGGGGTTGTTGGGAGGAGAGGTGAGTGATAAAAAAACTACATATTGGGTACAATGTACACTTCTCAGGTGACAGGTGCATGAAAATCTCAGACCACTATACAATTCATCTAGGTACCAACCAAAATCACTTGTACCCCAAAAGCTATTGAAATAAAAAAATACTAAAACCCACTGACTTGTATACTTTAAATGGGTAAATTGTATGACATGTGAATTATGTCTTAATAAAGCTGTCATTAAAAACTTGCTCTGAGTTTGACTTGGTGTTCATATTTTCTAGGGGCAGACTTATTTTTTTTGTTTGATTTTGTCTTGCTGTGTCACCTAGGCTGGAGTGCAATGGTATGATCGTGGCTCACTGCAGCCTCAAACTCTTGAGCTCAAGGAATCCTCCCACTTCAGCCTCCCAAGTAGCCAGAACTACAGGTACACACCACCACTCCTGGCTAATTTTTTAAATATTTTGTAGAGGCGGGGGTCTCACTATGCTGCCCAGGATTCTTTAAGTACCAAATCCACAGTTTTCCTTAGGAAGGTTTGCCTGCCTCTCCAACTGTGCCACACAATATTTCAGTTGTGTGTTTCACATATAAGTAGCTATACATGTATTTTATTTTTCACTTGCAGACCCAACATACATGAGCAAAGTGAGCAAAGTGAACATCTTCAGAGGTTTGACTTTCAGTGGCAGCAGGGAAGCACATAAAATTGAGACTGGTTCTTACCTAGGGATTATCTCTCATTGGTGACTAATGGACACTTCTCATCATAGAGAAATCAAGGTATTTTTACAAGGTTGTGGTCTGTTTATCTACCGCAAGTACATTCAGAGAGTTCATTTCTAATGTTCACTTCTTTTGTCAGGAAGGAATTTCTGTCATTTATTTGAGAAGGCAGTACTTTCTTTACTAACCACACATCAACCAAACAACACATCCTCCCTCACACAGCATCTATCAAACAACAGCAGTCAAGGAAGGAGAGAGAGGAAGGGAAAAAAGAAACCTCCCACATAACTGACAGTCTGCTTAGACAAAGCTCATGCTGCATTAGACAGTTGTGTTAGAATGGGCTATTATAAACACAAGCAGGAAGGGGAGTGCTTACACTGTTCCATTAATAACTATGAATAAGCTATAATTTAAAGTTTGATGTTTTAATAGATTATGGCTCAGCTTGTTTATTGAACATAATAAGTGGAGCTCTTGCTAAACATATTATGAGTAATTACATTAAAAATGCTTGACCTGGAAGAAAACACAGCACATAAACGATCTCAGAATTTACCAGGCGGTATGTTAGCTCATTTCCTAATCACTATTTATTTATTTATTTATTTATACTAAAACATCA